>NC_000010.11:2282727-2434242 GCF_000001405.40 Homo sapiens
CATAATTGGGAACATTTTACTCCTTGAAAACAACTAGAACAATATATTTTACAGCATGTATCAGCTTAACTGGAATATTTAATGGTCATAGGGTCTTTCAAATAAATTTATAATAGAATGATATAAATTATTGGGCTGTCCTGTACCACTTTTCTTTTGCAAAAAATAACTTTTAGTTGAGTCACGTGGATGCTCTGGTTTGATGGAGATGCACACATTTTGGAAAATTATTTTTCAAGTAAATTCGACAAAGTCTTAAATAAGGAGACCATCTTTTAGAAAAAAGAATTTCTAAAAATTCTTTTTTCTCTCCTAAATTACATTTTGAGTTTATTATGAATGATTTCCAAGAAAATGTCAAGGGAGTTTCATATATAATGTTTTGCTTTTATTTATATTTTAATTCAAGCATGATTCAGAAAATCCTGGTAGTAACTATTTTTTTTTTTTTTTTTCGGTCACAAAGTACATCTGTAAGAGGTATGTAGCAGCTGTTGGAGAGAACCAGACTGGCAGCCTGGAGTAGTGGTTTCAACCCCTGGATCTGGAGCTGGACTCCTTGACTTTGTTAATTCTTGGCTTTGCACTGAATTAGCGGTGTGACTTTGGGAGAGTTACTTAACCTTTCTGTGCGTCATTTATAACATGAGATTATTAAGAATTTTGGTATTCATAATCATCTCAATATGTGTTATTCTTATTATTCATTAAGAGCAATCCCCAATCTATATATTATTAAGAATATTAAGGGATGAGCTCCCTGTGAAAATCTTGATGTCTTGCCTGACAAAGTGTGCATTCAGCAATAGACTTTAATTACTTTTTCAAGAAAGATCATGTGAGAATGGTAGGGGGAAAGAAAAGATGGAGAGGGTATGAGAGAGAATGAGAGGAGAGGAATAGGAGACTAGCAAGTTGGCCAATTTTTTTTCACAAAGTTTTACTGGAAAGTGAAGAGAAGACATGGAGTCTTAACTTTGGGGGATACTGGGTTAAGAAGTGTGAAGGTGTGTGTGCATGTGTATGTATGCATGTGTGTACGCCTGTGTGTATGAGTGTACGTGTGAAGTATGTCCAGTGTGGTGAATGTGTGTGTGTGTCAGGATCCTGCAATTTAAGCAGACAAAAATATAAACAACTGAATTGTTTTGAAAAGATTCCAGAAATAATTTTGAGTTTATTTTCAAGGGCAGGGTTACCCATTACTATCAGAGATCTCGTTGCTAAGGACTCCCTTTTTTTATTTTATTTTTGCACTGACTCCTTGCCTCCTGCCAGCAACCTGTGCCAAGCCTCAGCGTCCTGCCTGGAAGGGCATGGTTAATAGCTGCTGGAGGTGGCCCTCCTCCTCTGAGAGCTCCCTCTCAGCTAGTGTGGCAGAGGGCAAGGCAGGAATGCGGTGGGTGTGTTCAGGGTGAGAACTCGCACACTTCACACAGCCCGCCACTTGGGGAGGGGATCCTGCCTCACCCCACGTCAGGGTTCCTCTTTCTACGATGGATGAGGAGAATCACTAGGGGTAGAGAAATGCCTGTTAAGGCAGGATACAGGGCATGTCCCGGCAGGCCTGGGACCGGTCCTCGTTCATCACAGCCTTTCTCCAGAGCCTCAAGCGCCACCATCAGTCTTTTGAGCCCTGGTTTTCCTGACTGCAGAATGAGATAACAGTGCCAGTCCTACTGAGCTATGCCAGGGCTGCCACACATGTGTCCCCCATGCTGGGCGGTGGCTGCCACACACGCGTCCCCCATGCTAGGTGGTGGCTGCACACATGTGCCCCCCATTCTGGGTGGTGGCTGACCTGGAGTCGCTGGCAGCCATCAGCATTGTCACCATTTGATCACTTGAATGACGACCATGTGAGGAAATCCCATGTACAAGGCATTTTATGTAAATTTTTTGACTAAATCATATTAAAGGGGCTATCATAACCCACTTAAGGGATGGGGTTTGGTACCTAGAAGACTGCGTTGTGAGAGTTTCCACCACGAGCTACCTCACGGTGAACTCAAGGGAACCTACGATGAGCTTTTTACTTGCAAATATATGCAGGTTTATTTCATTCATTCACAAGGCAGGATACGTCACATTATGTTTCTAATCACATTATGTTTCTAGAAAACCAACATAACATTTAATATGAACGTCCAAAACAAAGAAAAGTACACCATGAGAAAGTGTAAGAGTTTGATGAAGTATCACTCAAGTAAACAGACATGCCAGGAAGGGACATATTTGCTGAAATCATTTTGCTGATTAAACTATTCCCATTTTGGAGGAAAGAGCTATTATTTTACTAGGTTCTAAAATCCAACCATCTTTTTATACTCCCCCAGGGCGTACTTTCTATAATATTAACCTGCCGATCAGTACTTATACTGAAATTTTTGATACGAAAGATGGCCATTTACAGACTCGCAGCAAATGAACTGAGATTGTAGGCAATAATGCCTTTTAAACAAAAATTGCAGTGTAAGCCACAAAATGTGTACCATTCACAGTTATGGGGAGAAAATAAATTGTTAGCTTGTGCAAAGCCTGGCAATTTGACACAATGCAAATATGTTATCAGTGCTTTTAGCCCACTTCCTGTAATGTTTCTAACTTATTCCATATCGGGAGGGTAAACAGGCGAGCTAATGATACTTACACCGGACCAGCACGGTGACAGGCATCATTGGCAGGGCGCTGGTACTTAACACCAATTAAGGATAATGAAAATGTATCCGCAGCAGAAACCAGGAGGCATTGGTGTGAGTGTCAGGAAATCTGACAAGCTCTTTCAAATTGAAAAACGAGGGGCACAAATTGCAATGAGAGCCATGGCTCTCCAGGGCTTGGTTCAGCTTTCGGGCAATTATCCGCAGAGTACTTGTTTACAAGTTATTATTTATGCAGGGTTCAAATGTCCCAAGCCTGAGGGTAACCTTTCCAGGCAGGAAACCACCGTGTGGGAGAATGCCTGCCCATCATCTGTTTCCAAGACGAAGGGAAATTGGGAAATGGAGAAAATGACATTTGGGTCCACATTCAACACTTAAGCCAAGACAGAAAAAGATGGAAAAAGATTTATCTGGAGGCATAAAACCTATGATTAGGGGAAATAAGACATAAAAATGAGATCCTAGGAAGCACCTATCCAGATGAACTTTACCCAGAAGGGGCTCTTCTGCACAAGGCAATGCCTGCTTCTTTGCCTATGTATTTTATGATTTACAATAAAAGCCGGTATTTCAATGACACCACATTCTTTAGAGTAATGGGCACTAAATTCTTACTGATCCTTAAAAATTTAATAGGCTTATTTTTAGAGTAGTTTTAAGTTCACAGAATAATTGAGCAGAAAGCTCAATGTAATAGAGAGCTCCCATTTAACCCCTGCCCCTGCACACGTACAGCCTCCCCCACTATCAATGTCCCCAACTTGGTGGTGCCTCTGTTACAATCAATGAACCAACAGAACACAGCATCACCCCCCAGAGTCCACAGTTCACACGAGGGCCCACTCTTGGGGTTGCTTATCCTGTGGGTGTGGCAAATTTAGAACGATATAGATCCATCACCGTAACATCATGCAACGTGCCCTAAACATCGCTGTCCTAAAAACCCCGTGCTCCTCCTAGTCACCCCTCCCTTCCCCCAACCCCTGGCAACCACTGATCTTTTTACTGTCTCCCTAGTTGTACTTTTTCCAGAATGCCCTTTAATTGGAATCAGATAGTATGCAGGCTTTTCAGATTGCCATCCTTCACTTAGTGACATGCATTTAAGTCTTCTCCATCCTTTTTCACGGCTTGAGAGCCCATTTCTTTTTTCAGCTAGAAGAATATCCCATTGTCTGGGTGTACTGCAGTTTATCCATTCATCCATTGATGGGCATCTTGGTGGCTTCCAAGTTTTGGCAATGATGAATAAAGCTGCTATGAGCATGCTCACACAGGATTTTGTGTGGAAGCAAGTTTTCAGCTTATTTAGGTAAGTGCCAAGGACTGCAATTGTTGGATCACATGCTAAGAGTGTGTTTAGTTTTATGAGAAACTGCCTAATTGTCTTCCAAAGCGGCTGAGCCATTTTGATCTCCCACCAGCAGTGGATGAGTGTTCCTGCTGCTCCACATCCTCACCAGCACCTGGCGTTGTCAGTGTTCTGTATTCTGGCCATGCTAACGGGTCTGTAGTGGCTAATGAACCTGATTGCTGTTCACTGTGTCCTTCTCTGATGACGTATGAGGTAGAGCAATGATGTGGAACATCTTTTCATGTGTTGCTTTGCCCTCTGCATGTCCTCTTTAGTGAGGAGATCTCCTGCACATTTAAAAATAAATTTTGTTTTCTCATTGTTCACTATGAAAAGTTCTTTGCATATTCTCGACACCAGCTCTCTATCTGAACAATGAGAAAACAAAATTAAAAACTACTCCTAATTCTCATGATATTATCTGCCACATAGCAGAAGTTTTTAATTTTAATGAAGTCTGGCTTATTAATTTTTTTACAGATCTTGCCTTTGGTGGTATATTTTAAAAGTCATTGCCGTACCTAAGGTCATCTAGATTTCCTCCTCTGTATCTTCTAGGAATTTTATAGATTTTCATTTTACATTTAGGTCTCTGATGTATTTGAGTTAATATGTTTAAAGGGTGTAAGATCTTTCTTTTTTTTTCCTTTTGCATGGGATGTCCAGTTGTGCCAGCACCATTTGTTGAAAAGACTATCTTTTCTCTACTGTATTGGTTTTGCTTCTTGGTCAGAGGTCAGTTGATTCTATTTGTGTGAGTCCATTTCCGGGCTTTCTATTCCGTGCCATTGATCTATTTGTTTCTTCTTTAGCCAATATCACACTGGCTTGATTGCTATAGCTTTTGAGTAAGTTACCATTGACTTCTGTATATTGCAATCTTGTATTCTACAGTCTTCCTATAATCACTTTTTGTTTGCAGGAGTTTTCTTTTTTGTGGATTCTTTCAGATATTATTATTATGCTTTTTTTGGCAAATGTATTTAACCAACCCGTAACACTCCTTAGAATAAAAGATTTTTGGAATAAAAAAGATCACAATTCTCCACCCAAGAATGTCAGGTGAAGTTAGGACATCAGTCATTCTTGGAATGGGAGGGACTGGTAGAAGACTTGACCCTTTTTTGTCCCTTTTTCTAGGGTTTTCCGAGGACCATAAGAATTCAAAAACACTCTTAAGAACCCAGCTCCTCCCCGGAGGTTGCAGTGAGACGAGAATGTGCCACTGCACTTCAGCCTGGGTGACAGAGTAAGACTCTGTCTCAAAAAAAAAAGAACCCAGTCCCTCCCACTTGGCCCTTAGACCCAGGTCTCCAGCCAAATGCCAATTAGAATCTTGTCCTTCGAGTATGTAAGATGAGCAGCTCCTTCCTGCCCCTACACCAACTTAGCTCTTTTTTCTTCCAAATTCTATAAATAATACATCTCCCGAATAGCTTTGGCCCACTGGCTTTCCACCTCATAGATGTAAGTTTCTTTTTCAATCCGAAGTCTGAAAAGGCTTAGGAGGTAACTGAGCTAGTTCAGAGGATAGGCCTGAATCAGTCAGGACGAACTACGGGCATGGGTTGAAGAGTGGCCCCTTCATATGTACGTTCATTTCCTAATGCCTGGTGTTGGTGAATGCGCCCTTATTTGGAAATAGAGTCTTTGCAGATGTAATCACATGAAGGATCTCAAGAAGAGATCATCCTAGAGGACCGGGGTGGACTCTAAAGGCAATGACTATTGTTTGTACAGGAGAAAGGAGAGGGAGATTGGAGACATAGAGGCATAGAGAGGAAAGCCCGCGTGGAGAGGGAGGGAGAGGTCGGAGTGCTGTGTCTACAAGCCAAAGGATGCCAAGGGCTCCTGACAGCCCATGGAAGCTAGGAGCAAAGCATGGGACAGATTCTCCCGCTGAGTCCTTAAGAAGGGACTAGCCCCCGCACACCTGGAGGGACTTCTGGCCTTCACAGCTGTGAGATAATAAATGTATGTTGTTTTAAGTCACCCAATTTGTGGTCATTTGTTACAGCAGCCCTGGGAAGCTAATCCACCAGGCTGTTCAGTGCAAACCAGTAACTCCCCAGTGAACCTCCAAATCACAGCAGTTCAACACAGAACGGTTTTGGTGGTTTGTTTTATCATTCAGAGGCCGCTCGACATCTGGCAGTGGCTCAGGCTGCCTCCTTCTAGGCCATGATGAGCACTGGTTCACCTTGCAGCTTCACTACCTCCACACATGACCCAGAGTCCAGCACATCAGGGGAAAAAGGGGAGTAAGGAGCCCACAGATGCGGTCAGTGGCTCCACGCAGAAGCAGCACATGTTGGCTCCTCAGTGTACTTATTGACCAGAGCTCCTCACACTCCCTGGCAGGATCCTTGTGGGCTTCAGGAAACTGCATGCCCAGCCCCGCCCCACCACCCCCCAACCTGATCTTCTCTCCTTCACCGACACCACCAAGAAGTCCTTGGGAGCTGGATTTTAGAAACAGGCTAGTCCTCCCCTCCGTTCACAGATGATGACATTTCTACCCAACCATTTAAATGACTGTGTGAAATTCACACATGGAATTAATGTCATGCCGCCACGTTTTCACAATGTGTGGTGTTCTCCTAGTGTCCCTGATGCTTGAAGACCCTGGCATCGAGTTCCCTGGGTCACCAGCAGCAGTCGTTTAAGAGCAGAGCAATGGCACCCGCTCTGCAACCCAGTGGCCGCACTCTCACAGACTGGGTGAACATCCTGCCTGCAGCTCCACATGTGGAAGACTGAGCTATTGAAAAATGTCACACCCGTCTGCACACTCACACTGTAAAATAGTCCTCTCAAGATTCACTTTCCACAACTTGTACTGAAAAAGGAAAATTAAACTCCATGAAAAATGTGACTTGAACCTTCCTAAGAACAAGGTCAACTTGGTGGGCACGGGAGCCTTCCAGTCACAAAGAACTCCCCGGGGTGGGGGCAAGAAATTCTTAATGTCTTCAGCAAGTGAAGCTGCATTTTTCTTTTGCAGTGGGTTCACACATTATGTAACCAATCCTACATCCGACCAACTGCAGTCAACACACCTAGGTTTGCCGTACGGCTGTTTAAAAAAAAATCTACCCAAAAGTTGCAGAATTTTCATGAAGCATGTTGTTTCACTTGGGGCTTTATTCCAGATAATTCAAAAATCCAAGAGAAATAAGTAAATGTAACATGCATTCGAAGTCACTCCGATACAGTGAATTGTGAGGTATTTCATTAAGTAAAAATATACACCCCGCTTTAAACCATCTGTTAATAATTGACCAAGGTTGCTTTCCTTTTAGATTTTGTTTGTTGCTTCATTTTCAAGGGAACTTAGAGTGATTTCAAAATATAAATAAAACAAGTTAGGAGGAAGGGAAATGCAATAAAGGAAAAGTGGATTTGTAGAAATCCAGGCTGTAGAACCCCGTACAATGGTGATGATTGGTTATAAATAGGTGGGAGAACTTCCTGATACCCAAAACAAGGGAGGAAATGCAATCAGTCATACATTTCTAAATGCCCATGGCTCGCATTGGAGTGAAAGCTGGTGAAGACACAGGATGGAAGCCCTGTGAAGAAGGAGGTCTCCGTCCCTTTGGCCCAGGATGTATCCCAGGGCAGAGAGGGGCAGTGTGCGGTGCAGCCTGCGTGCAGTGAGGGCACCGTGATGCGAGCACGCCCTGGAGATGCCAGAAGCAGCGCCCCTGACAATGCAGGACAAATGCAATCCTCCTGTGTGGTGCAGGATGGGTCCCAGGGCAGAGAGCGGCAGTGTGCAGTGCAGCTTGCACGCAGTGAGGGCACCCTGATGTGAGTGCACCCTGGAGATGCCAGAAGCAGCGCCCCTGACACTGCAGGACAAGTGCAATCCTCCTGTGTGGCCCAGGATGGGTCCCAGGTCAGAGAAGGGCAGCGTGAGGGGCAGCCTTCATGCAGGAGAGCACTGTGATGGGAGCGCCCTAGAGACGCCCGGAGCAGTGCCCCCAACACTGCAGGACAAGTGCAATCCTCCTGTGTGGCCCAGGTGGGCCCCAGGTCGGAGAAGGGCAGCGTGAGGGGCAGCCTTCATGCAGGAGAGCACTGTGATGGGAGCCCCTGGAGACGCCCGGGGCAGTGCCCCCAACACTGCAGGACAAGTGCAATCCTCCTGTGTGGCCCAGGATGGGTCCCAGGTCAGAGAAGGGCAGCGTGAGGGGCAGCCTTCATGCAGGAGAGCACTGTGATGGGAGCGCCCTGGAGACGCCCGGGGCAGTGCCCCCAACATTGCAGGACAAGTGCAATCCTCCTGTGTGGCCCAGGATGGGTCCCAGGTCAGAGAAGGGCAGTGTGAGGGGCAGCCTTCATGCAGGAGAGCACTGTGATGGGAGCGCCCTGGAGACGCCCGGAGCAGTGCCCCCAACACTGCAGGACAAGTGCAATCCTCCTGTGTGGCCTTAGACTGGGCACGACTTTAGAAGGCAAAATTCCCCCAATAAATAAATATATACAATCCTTGCACCCCTGTGATCGTTTCACGAGAACTTCTGCATTTAAAGTTCATGGTAGAAAATAAGAACAAAATACAGCTCAATGAAAGGGATTTTGTGGCGACAAAGGACATAATCTACAAAGGAAGTTTCCCAGCCTTTGAGAACCTACAAAAGCCATGTGCTGTCTGCCCAGAAAAGAAGCGATTAAATACCCCCTAGTTTGATCAAGCATTTCAGGTGACCATGGTCCTGACTGAAGGCAGATACCTGATTCACATTACGGTGTGGCAATTTGTGTGTCAAAAGACGAGTTCTTGATTATACTAGTAGATTAACCTCAAGTGCTTAAAGAAATTGCCACTAAAGCCATTTCCAGCAACCTAGACCCTCATAGAATAGCGTGGTATAGATGTGAAAGTCATGCTTTCTGGAAAGATTGCTCTCTATAACTAATTCACGTGATCGGTTCAGGTAATTTAGAGATTGCCAACTTTGTCACATCCATTTATTCTTAACAAGAGCATAGGTTCTAAATAGTAAAATTCATTAAAGTCAAGATTTTTATATTCTATATATTTATAAAATATTATAGATGTTATATGCTTTCAAGCCAATGTAACATCTCTGAATTTAGTGATTATTAAAATAAGAATATCAATATCTCTGCAAAATATGTGTGTATTTATCATACAAGATAAAACTATCACCCCTACTTTTCATAAGAGTTTGTGTGATTAGCTCAAACCCAAAGGTCACAACCCAGTCTTCTTAGTCCTGGTCCTAAATCTTCATAAAAGTGATAAGCGGTATTTCCGAATGGAGGCTAAAATGCTTATAACACTATTCATTCTAAACGCTATTCCTCACTTCTTTTCCTGACCATGATGCAGCATGGTTTTTCACCAAAAGCATCATAAATGCAAGCATTAAAGCAGATTCGATTTTATAGCTAGAAAAGAGATTATTATAACCAATGTCCTTTATTAAAATTGTTTTTATTTTATTTAAAATGCTAATACTTGCTAATGTAGAAACTGAAAATATGATGTTTTTTTAAAGTATCCAACAAAATAATTGTATTTTCTACCTTACACCTTAGTGTAAGAAAGTTTAAAATATATTACATTTATAATGTCTTCAGTTTCTGGGAGGATATGAAGTCATTTTACCAGGTCAGAAAATTGATTTGGTCCTTTGCTTTTTGCTAGCCTCAATCATGAAAAATAGAAATTTTGATACAGTATATTCAATCCTCATCCTTAGTAGCATTATTCTGCTTGACTGTGGTGAAAATATTTCATTCTAGAAGAATACTGCAGGCCTTGCTAGGGGCCTGCAATGAGTCCAGGCATTCGTGGAGATGGGTAAGTCAGTCCAAGTGTTGCAATTGGATTTTATGCACTCTCCCTACATACAACTAAATTCCAAAGCCCAGTTGATGTCATCACTATGCAACTGTCAACCTTGTCCAGAAATTAGTAGAGGAGATTCCGCCAATAGGCAGGAATAAATGTTTCCTGCCATCGTTTCACATTTAGTAATTACCTGAGGATCTTGTTCGTGCTTCTTAATGTTGAACAGGGTCCAGATCACATTGATTACTGACAAAAATCAGCACACTTGGAATTCAGATATCAAATACAATTAGATTCACACTGTTTTTGAATTTTTGTATAGATGTGTGTTATTTAATAACAAATTATTTATAACTAATTTAGAGTCAGACTATCTATGTTAAAGACCCATCTCTGCCCCTGTATGTTTATGACTCTGCCCCTGTATGTTTATGAACAACTGCTTTAGGCTTTCTTTCTTTCTTTCTGTTTTTTTTTTTGAAACAGAGTTTGACTCTTGTCACCCAGGCTGGAGTGCAGTGGCACCACCTCAGCTCACTGCAACCTCTGCCTCCTGGATTCAAGTGATTCTCCTGTCTCAGCCTCCAGAGTAGCTGGGATTACAGGCGCCAGCCACCATGCCGACTAAAGTTTCCACTGAAACTGTGGACTGAGATACAAGTAAGTAGACAAATGTTCTAGTGGCATCTTTTCTAATGGCTTTAATTGTATTTTCCGTGTGTGTGTGTGTGTGTGTGTGTGTGTGTGATCGACACAAAATTATGAATTTAGGTTGCAAGTTTGACAAGAAGGAGAAGGCATGACATCGTCCTTCAGGTAGAGTGGGAAAGTGAGTGGAAAAATGTGATTCTCCAGTAAAACTAAGCACCTCCTTAAAGTTCTTTAACTATGTCTTGTTCTCTTTTAATTGAACTGAGTTGGTTTTGGTGGGTTGCAGCTGAAATCCCTTCCTGATGCAGTACCTGCTTCAAGTCACTCATCCTAAACCATCACTAACGTGAGCAAAGGGGAAGATCCAAACAGAGAGAGCAGCCAATGCAGGGAAAGCCACTTTGGCTGGGAAGTTTAGCTGCTTGCCCCTCTGTAAGAGTCCGACTCCCTTTTGCTAGGCAAAACCTTCGCTTTTCCATTTTCTCTATTTCTTTAACAGAAACAGTGTTTCATCAGATTATAGATATCAGAATATTGGTAGAGGCACAACTGCAAAAAAAAAATGTGTTCTTTTTGAGTGATCCCTATTTTCTTACCAGTACAACTCCAGGCCTCCGCGATCATTCCCAGCTCTGGGACAGGAAGCTACTGAGATACGGAATCACCAAGTGACCTCCAGTTAGAGCCCACATCCCATGCAGAGCAGCCGTACCTTCCAGATGTTGGGTCCTGCCCAGAGTCACCCTGGAGCAGCCCCACCCTACATCCTTCCTACCCACAGGGCTCCCCAGTGTCTGCTTTCTTTGGCTCCACAGAGGAAAGTGGACCCAACTTTGGACTGTGACTGCAGGTGTAATTTCGGTTGTCTCTAGTTGGTGAACATCAATGCAAAAGCACAAGGCATAAAATCTGAACCTAAAATAACATGAAAATATAAAAAAGCTCTACTAGCATTTATGTAATAAGTAAAACAGAATTTTCAATATGATGCCTTGCAGCTTGCATTTTCACTAATAAGGATGATAAATACAACGAGGCCAATTTCACTTTTCTTAAAACCTCTCCAAATGGAATTGGGAACAGTGAGAACACATGGACACAGGGAGGGGAACATCCCACACCGGGGCCTGTCAGGGGGTGGGGGGGAAGGGGAGGGAGAGCATTAGGACAAATACCTAATACATGCAGGGCTTAAAACCTAGATGACAGGTTGATAGGTGCAGCAAACCACCATGGCATATGTGTACCTATGTAACAAACCTGCACGTTCAGCACATGTATCCAAGAACTTAAAGTAAAATTTTTAAAAAATGGAGATCTGATTTTTTTGGTATGCATTGCATGCTAGCTTTTATATCAAGTAGACATTTGGCAAGATTTGTTTTCATTCAAATTGTTTAATTTTGAATTCTTCTTATATTTCAAACAGTGCCCAGCCCAGGTACGTCCTGAGTAGATGTGAATTTGGGTTAGTGTCATCACTGTCCCAGAATCACTTTTGTCTGAATTCTACAGACCTCAGTTACAGTATCTGTGCAGTGCATTGGTGTTCGTTTATGGTAAAGAGCTGCGATGCCTACTGTTCGGAGAGAACAATCACAGGCTAACCTTTCTCTGAATGCCTGTCGGAAATGCTGGCTCTGGACTGTCGATTTCATCACTGTGTTAGAAACACTTTTGCCCCAAGTGCATCTCCTGGTCCTGATTCTTAATTGTTGTTATTTTGCAGAGTAAAATATTGATGAGATTGGTCAAAAAGATTGACAGCTGCATGAATTGTTATTAACCAGACCGTTGGTTGCAGCTCACATTTCAATACACAGTAAGATGAAGCATGGCCCTCGGGGACTCTCTCTCTCCTTCTCTTTTCCAATAGGCAGATATTAACCCTTTCATAGCGCTCTGTGTAACTTTTTTCTTACTTTCCTTTTTCCTTGAGCAATGAAAATGCCACTTATTGATTTCAACCATGAAACTTGAAAAGACCAATCATTTATCAAGTTACAAATTGGTAATTATCCAGGAAGCTCAAAGTAGCAAAGGATTCCATATTGCTCGCTTAGGGAGCTAAGGGTGGGAACACAGTGCTGCCTAGCGAGGGCACACCTCCTTGGACTTAAAGTCAACCTTGGAAAGACAAAAGAAAACAGAGCAGCAGAGAGGAGGGTTAAATCCAAGCAGGGAGAAGAGACATGGCTTCTTCACACACCCAGTGAGTGCAGAGGGACACACAGACACACACTTACAGGAAGGGAATGGCTGATACCATTGGATCGTTGGGACACATTTGTCTATTCCTTCCTTTGTGCAGCAGACGGAATTGGATCCTAAGGCATCCTGTGAATGGTCTTGTCATCTACAGATCACACAAAACTTCTATCCATCTGACATACATCAGGATGGGTTAGCTTGCATCTGTGTGATGATTATTGCCAATGTCATTTGTAATCAATAACAGGAACTGAAGAACAACACTACAGTACAAGACAGAAGCCACACTTCCCAGAGGTGAGAAGTAAGCAATTCCAGTGCCACGCATTGCAATGCAGTTTTCTCCTGAGAGCCAATCTGGGTCTCAGGAAATGGAAGAGACTGAATTAAAGGTAAGTATTTTCAAGCGCATTAGTCAAAACAATTACTATAGTCAATATTAAGTTATGTGGCAATTTTTAAAGCAGTGTAAGCTGCCCAGTTTTTAGGGATGATTACATTAGGGAGTTTCAGCCCAATGGGAATCGTGGTGGAGAATACTTGATGTGCCTATCGGAATGAGTTGCGCAGCAGGGTAACCAGGAAAGTCTGTTAAAAATGAAGATTCCTGCACAGAATTCCAGACCAACTGAAGATGAATTCAGGTGTTGCTAGAGGATCTATCTGTTTAACAAGATTCACGAATGATTATGATGGAAGAAGCCTGTCTTCAGTTTGAGACCCTTGAACATTTCTAGTCCTTTTCTCATCGCTTAAATAATTAGCTACGTAATACAGTCATGTGTCCCATAAAGAGGTTTTGGTTGTGGTCCTATGAGATTATAATACCATATTTCACTGTACCTTTTCTATGCGTTGATATGTTTGGAAACACAAATGCTTACTTACCATTGTGTTGCAAATTGCCTGCAGTATTCAGTACAGCCCCAGGCTGCCTGGGTTTGTAGCCAGGAGCAACAGGGTACACCAGAGCCCAGGTGTGCTGGAGCCTCTGCCATCTGGGTTTACGCAGGTTCACTCTATGATGTTCCTACAAAAGGCAAAATTACCTAAAAATGCATTTCTCAGAACATAGCCCCAGCATTAAGCTATGCATGACATATTCAGAAATATCTTGTCTTCTAGATTAGCTCTTAACAAAAATAAAAATCAGAATAGCAAATAACACAGGGCCGCATACTAAAATCCACGCTTTCCTCCCCATCCTCCTCTCCAGCCTACCCAGCTGCTGGGAGACTCCCACATTTAGTGACTTCACTTAGAATTTCATATGAGGGTTACCAGGGTTGCCATGTGACACATGTAATTATTTTTTAATTCATCAGCTTTATCTAGGGACTTGTTTCTCTGAGGAGTAAAAGTAGAATTTGTCTACACTCTTCCCTGCCATTCCCTTTTCCATTGCTTACAGTATAATTATATAGTTACTTTAATTCTACATATTTAATTTGTTCATAATTTATAATATTTTCTTAAACTCCATGCCCTATTTCACTAACTTTACAGAATATTCCCTAGATTCCTAACTTGGTTAATAACCTTCTCCCACCTTCTGGCTTATTATTATTATTTTTTTGAGATGGAGTCTCGCTCTGTCGCCCAGGCTGGAGTGCAGTGGCACAATCTCCACTCACTGCAAGCTCCGCCTCCCGGGTTCTGGCCATTCTCCTGCCTCAGACTCCCAAGTAGCTGGGACTACAGGCACCCGCCACCATGCCCGGCTCATTTTTTTTTTTGTATTTTTAGTAGAGACAGGGTTTCACCGTGTTAGCCTGGATGGTCTGGATCTCTTGACCTCGTGATCCGCCCTCCTCAGCCTCCCAAAGTGCTGGGATTACAGGCGTGAGCCACTGCACCCGGCCTATGGCTTTTAAATATCTTTCAAGTTTTTCTTTCTTTTTTTTTTTTTACTTTCACAGGATTAATTACATTTATATTATTTTTGTAACCCAAAATAAGATTGTGTGTTTTGTTTACAGATTAATTTCAAAAGAAAAAACAACCAGCAGCCTTCATTATTAGCATCGTTAATAATTTCAGAGATTGTGAGGCACAATCTGACCACTTCCCCAAGGAATTGTTTCAAAACCCTTCTGTTTTCTTGAGCAAACCCAGTTGCTCAAACGAACGCCACCATTTAGACTGTTATCCATTTGGTTCATAACTCTTTGAAAACTAATTATTTTCATGAAGTTTCTGATTACCTCCATTTTCTTACTGTGTGAATACTCGTATGCCACATTCCCTTTTCACTTAAACCTAAAATGCCTTTACTCAATTAGTAAAAAGTCAAATGAAAAAATGCCACCTTATTCATTTTATCCTCATGACAATTTTT
The DNA here is from genome assembly GCF_000001405.40 of Homo sapiens. Taxonomy (NCBI): domain Eukaryota; kingdom Metazoa; phylum Chordata; class Mammalia; order Primates; family Hominidae; genus Homo; species Homo sapiens. The sequence continues at coordinate 2,297,772 of NC_000010.11, forward strand.
GATTTTGTGTGGAAACCCATTGGCTTCATCTTCTACAGCGGACTGGATATATCATATTTGGTTGGCATGTGACCTTTAATAAGACACTTTTTTAACTTTTGGGTTGAATTTTACAAGTCTCAGTGTGTGCATTGCTGTATCTGGGAATGTTTGCTTTCTGGCATTCACTCTGCTACACTTCTATCAAGGCCTCTGATTGACTTTAGACTTTCTTGTCACCTCCTTCTGCCTCAGAATTCAGTCTGGAATGGTTGTTCTTAAAGTTTGTGAGTAGCTGTCATCCTAGGATTTTTCTTTCTTGAATTTTTGGGTCACAATAATTGTTTTGTGGATCTATTTTTTGGTGTTTCTTGGTTTCCAGCTCACTTTGTTGAAATACATTTTAAAAAATTAATTCTCAGCTGGGCATGGTGGCTCATGCCTATAATCCCAGAACTTTGGGAGGCTGAGGTGAGTGAATCACTTGAGCCCAGGAATTGGAGACCAGCCTGGGCAACATGGTGAGACCCTGTGTCTACACAAAGTACAAAAATTAGCTGGGAGTAGTGGTGTGTGCCTGTAGTCCCAGCTACTCAGGAAGCTGAGGTGGGAGGATCACCTGAGCCTGGGAAGTCCAGGCTGCAGTGAGCCGCGATCGTGCCACTGCACTCCAGCCTCAGTAAGAAAGAACACCCAATCTCAAAAAAAAAATTACTTTTCTAGGAATGCATGCCCATGAAACATTTTCTAAGTCATCACATGGGTGCAAATGAGCCCCGCTTGGTTCACTGTGGCCTTGATCCACGTAGGTATTGAATATCCTTCCCTTCACTGCCTGAAATGCATCCGCCCTCCATGTCAAGCAAGCATTTGATCCTCCTTGTTGGGAGACAACAGCCCACAGCATTTCCACACATTCTGTGACAGCTTTTGTACTACAACACTTTCTAACGGATATTCTTACAGCCAACAGCCTGGGAGGCCAGAGACAGTGTCTCTCTCCAGGGCAGAGGGCAGATTTGTTCCTTGACCAGGACAGTAAAGATAACGTCTTCCTGTAGGGCAAAGCTTGGGCAGCTTTGTTCATGTCTCCTTTTGAGACTGAGGATCATCCATTTGGGTCCCTCACTCAGTCAAAAACCTACTCCATCAGCACCATTCATCTGGTCACCCCTTAGTGTTCACGTCAGACTTGGTGAGCAAGCAAGCAAAAAGGGCCTCTCTGAACAGATTCTCATGCTGCCTGCTATGTCAGGAGTAAGCACCTTCTTTGTCTCTGACTCAGGAGTCTCAGGTCATGCTACCATCATTTATGAAGTTGTGATTGCTGAACATGTTAGATTGCAAACGAGTAAACAGGTCAGACCCTTTACTAAGTTGATACCACTTAATTGCATTCTGAATTCCTTGTTCTGCAACACTTCAAATGACAGAGGTTTCAGCCTCCAGCTAGATATGGACTCTTAAAAAATGTCCTAATCAGAATTCTGTAGACTCTTTTACACAGAATTCTGGGTACAAACATCCTCTGTACTCAGAACTTTGAATGTACGTGTATATTGTCTCCTGGTACTGGTGCTGAGGATGAGGATTCCAGAGGCTTACTATTCTTTTCCTGATGTCCTTTAGGTCTGTTTGTTAAAGCTTTTATTGTTTTCCTCCTGGATGCTTTCTGGTCTCCTGTTTTGTACGTGGTCTTATGCAATTTTAAATTGATATGTCTCTGTGTGTTAGGACAAGATGTGGTCTTCTTGGAATGGCTCTGGTTAAAAATCTCCTCTTTCATATCAAACACCCCTATAGGAAGAAATACTAGGTCACTAGACCTATCTTACCTATGAGAAACTAAAGTTAGCTCTGCATGGGGTGACAGTCATGGGATGCATTGTTGGGCAAGGCATGAACTGGTGCCAGGAAATAAGTGATGTGGCTTCCTGTGTTGTTTGGGATAAACATGTGAAAAGGAAGCCTGGAGCTCTTCTGACCTGGCAGAAGCTGACCCAAAACTGCCCACCTGAGAGTCATTCTAAGGAACTCCAGAGAGAGGGCTAGGGTGGCAGACAGACACTGGGACCTGCGTGAACTTTAACAAACTGCCGAACTAAGAGAACCGTTCTAAGGAACTGCAAAGAGAGGACTAAGGGTGCTGGACACTGGTACCTGAGTGAACTTTAACATAAGCTACTATTTGCCTTGTGTAAATATATTCTCTGTCTAGGGCCCTCTTAGCCTAGTGGGGGGCTTTATTTTTCATTCATCCCTCTCCATGTTCAGTCAACATTGTTGAGGTGGTCTACAACAAAGTCTTCTAATTGCAGTTCAGTTTTGTTTGTGCACTTCCTGCCAGTCTCTATTTTGAAATGTCTGCTTCTTATTAAATGTTCTTTAATCTTAGAACCAAGGGTCATTTGTTTTATAGTTCTGGGAAAATAATGAGGAATTTTCTAGAGCCAAAGTCCCCCAAAGTGATAGAGCCCCTCCTCAGCCGTCTTTCTCTCTTGCGGTTACACAACACACTCTCACTACCTACGCAGCTGTTGGGGTAAATGTAAAGAATATAATCATATGTCAAGAAGAATTGCCAAGTAATTTATTTGAACAATGCTTACAATTGTGCTTTCTGCACTTCCTGTGTCTCTAGTAATTCAACCTCCAGCATTTTACTCATGACATTTAATCAATACATGCAAATCACTTCAGGGATCTATTATATCCTGAATTCATTAATCTACTTGGGCAAGAGACAAGCATGTAAGAAGGTTTTCTTGGCTAAGGTCAAAAAGGAGGATGAATAGTATCAAGTTCCACAGTCTCAAGCTTTTTAAAGACTGCAATACCCCAGAGAGGAAGAGGCCCTCTTGGCTTGCTTTTCTAATTCAAGCAATTTTCAGTAAGATACATTTTGCACTAACTTGAGAATATACACATATTGGCACTTTATTATTATTATTAATTATTACTGTTTCTATTCAATGTGATACATGTTGATAAGAATCGCAAAATAAGCATATTTATCTTTCATAGATCAGGATGTTTTCTTCATCACAGAATATAAAGATGAACATAGTGCAGTAAAATTTCACTTGTATCAGTCATCAATAGGAATTTGGTTTATGGCTGCACAAGAGAAAACCAGTCGGATCAGGTGTTCTGTGATGGTGTATCATAAAGTATCCCTTATCCTTAGGCTTTTGCCAAGAGCTGATTTATCAAAGGTCGGAGATAGATACAAATGAAGTTTAATATAATGGGATGTAAGCCAATCAGAAGACTATTACATTCAATTGACATAAATTGAACTATGTTTTATGACATGAGCATACTGTAGTGTTTCAAAATTCTTGTTTTTATTCATAGCAGGGAAGAACAATGAGACATTTCATGATTTTTATTTATTTCTATTCCTTCGTTGCACAGTCCATCTGTTGGACTATTTTTGAGTTGCATTAAAAATTTTAACATTATTTGTAGTTTCATTAACAAATACATCTAAAATGCAATTTTTCACAGGTATGTCTACGTCACATGCACCTGATTTCACAACACACATCCAGGATGGCCAATATGTTGGTGCTTCACGTAGGTTGAGTTTTTTTTTTGCACTGGCTGCTTGCTAACATGATATCTGATGAAGCAGCACTAACACACGATGTGTGTCCACGTGAATGGAGTTTTACGAACATGGATGAGCTAATGTCTCTACAGTGACAGTCCAGTGAGAAATGGCTATCTCGGTCAATGATGTTTCCTTGGCACAGCTGAAATAATGGGGATAGTCTCTGTGTACTGACATGGAAAGACTTCTAGAATATAGTCGCACGTGAGAAAAGCAAAGCATATGACATTGTTTGGGTATCTGTCCCCTCCAAGTCTCATGTTGAAATGTGATCTCCAGTGTTGGAGGTGGGGCCTGACGGGAGGCATTTGGTCATGTGGGTGGATCCCCACGAATGGCTTGGCACTCACTCCATGGAAGCCAGTGAGTTCTCACTCTGTAAGTCTATGCAAGCCCTGGTTGTTTAAAGGACGCTGGCTCTCCCTCACTCTCTATCTTGCTCTCTCTCTCACTGTGGGACATGCTGGCTCTCCCTTTGCCTTCTGCCATGACTGGAATCCTCCTGAGGCTTCACCAGTAGCAGATACCAGCACTGTGCTTCCTATATGGCCTGCAGAACCATGAGCCAAAACAAACCTGTGTTCTTCATCAATCACTCAGTCTTAGAGATTACTTTATGGCAATGCAGATGGGCTGACATCACAGTGAACAGTGAGCAGTGAACTCCGACATGCTGTGCTGTCCTGGATCCTGCACAGAAGGAAAGCAAAGGGTGCATGCGGCTGTGTATTTGCATTTCCTTATGCTTACATAAAGACATCAGAGGAGAAAAACAAAGTAAAGTGGAGGCATCAAATAATCAGTAATAAATAGGATGATGGAGAAAGAAGAATCAGGAACACCTATGAGCTCATCTTTCATGTCCTTTTGATGCCTAGGCTGTAGAAACACATGCAATTTCTTCAAAAACAGCAATGACTCTGATAGTGGATTAACGTTATAGTGACTTGCCTTGATTCCCTTCAAGGGACCCTAACTCCAGGCCTCAGCTGTTGTGAGTTTTAAGTACTAACCACTCATAGCTGCTTTAAAAAATTTTTCCCAGACAGTTGCCCTCACTCTGGCATGGGCTGACTCCTGAGAAATGCTTGGGAGATTGTGTCCATTTCCAATTAGGGGCACCCTACAGCCTATAGCAAACTGACAAGAAGGTCTGGAAGTCCCTTGGTCTCAAGGTGGAAAGGCTGTGGGATGCTGTGCACACCCCGGGGCTTCGCATGGGAGCCAGCTAAACCAGGCTGCAGTCTACACCCCACTGTGGGTATTTTAGTCCCCTGCTTTGTCCTGCTTTTTTGCTTTCTCACTGGTCTCTGCTGACCGCACTCCTCAATATACCCTTTACACAAGCACCTCTATTTCAAACTCTGCTTCTCAGGAACCTGTCTTAAGCCAGATTTTTTTTGGAGCAAAATAAGGAAGTAGAGTGAAGAGAAATAGTCTTCAAGGACCTCCACTGGAGTTATTAAATGAGCCATTTAGATGGATAATTCTATCCTTGTCGGATCTTCTAATTTCTAAAATAGCACATTTTATCCACGATCTCCTCCCCAAAAAGCTAAGTAAGGCACATATGGGTAGAATGATATCACAAGCACCTCTTTATTGACAGTTGGTTAAATGATGGCTAGTATTGGATCCATTGAAGGTCCATGCATTTATTTTCTGTTAATATGATACTAAAGTATACTGAAATTATTTTCCTCTATGGCTTACATGGTGGATTTAATTACCATTATTTAACAATGAGAAATTTACTAAAAAATAACGATGCAGTAGATTTCAGTCAAAGTAAGGAATTTCAGTGAGTAAATGAAATCCTCAACACTTGGTCATTTTGAGGGTATTCAAGGCAGTTCAAGGTCTGTGGTTCCCTATCTTAGGGTGGTGTCACTTTTGGTATCTTGAGCAGGAGGGACTCTAACACAGGAAATGTGGTGCCCACAAAAGCAATAAAAGAGTTGAGGAATTCCAAGGCATCACCTTACGTTGGCTGATCACTTGCAGAGCACCGGGAAACTACAGAAGCCACAGGAGAGCAGCAGAGATCATCCAAGCCCTGCAGGGAAGCCCCAGCTTGCTCCACATTCTCCTGTCTGTTGAGTCTTGACCATTCCTCCTGTGCCTTTGGGGGAGTCACAATGTGGCTTCTGCTTCTCTTTCATCTTTGAAATATCTTCAAAGCTTCTCATTGGTGGGTTATAAACAAACCCAACTGGCAAGGGATCTCCAGAAAGAAGTTCCCATTGGTCCAACCCTTGGGGCAGAGGAAACACCCTAAAAAAGGCAGCATCAGGGGTCAGAGTTGAACCCACAGCGCACCTGCAGGCAGACGGCATCCTTTGGCAAACTGAGAAAACACATTGTAGTCCTAAGAAAGAGAGTTCCCGAAGATATGAACCAGGCACCACCACACCCACTTGGTGTGTGAGTAGAGGCAATGCCAGAAGCATCTAAGGACTTGTCTTCAGGTTTAAGATCTTCTTGCTATGTGTTCTCGGGTTTTGATTTGATTGTATTTAGTAGCATGGAATTGCCCTTTCTCCTGATGACACTGTACCTGGTTTTTAAAAGTGTACTTAACATTTTCTCTCTGCTGTAGAGTGCTTCACACATTCAAATTCAGCACCCAACTGCATGCTTCTCATGCAAAATGCTTATTGATTTAATTTTCTTTTAGTTAAGATGGTTACATTATTTGCTTTCCGAAGATAGGGTGATACACACCAAAATCTTTGAAACTACTGGCTAAATACTTATTACAGCCAGCAGTTTCAAATTTTCCTCAAAAAGTTTATTCTCCAAAACTGAGTGATCTGATTGGTTGGGTCATAGTGAATCCAGGTTCTATTGTGATTCTATGTATCAATCCGTGTATTCATATAAGGGATGGTAAATATTAACACTGATACAACGTCTTCTAGCTTTTGTCAAAAAGACCTTCATTACTGACTCTTGATACCCTGTTTTCAATGTGCTATTAGTTTGATGTTGGGCCAAAATCAATCACCGGTATGTTTTGTCAATATACTTCTTCATATTTCACACACATTATCAGCTGATTGGTGGGTCCCCAAGACAGTAACTAGGCTACTAGTAAAACTAGAAGTTGCTAAATGCATCTCCAAATATTTTATTAACTGGAGTATTACATGTCTTTTTTCTTAGTCTATGGCAATATCTATTATCAACTTGTTTTGGTCAAAAACTGTTTTTTTTGTAAAAAACAAACAGTAAATTAAGCAAATCTGATGACTTTTTTTTTTTTTAGTAACAAGAACTATGCATACAGTTTATTGCTGATATCATTTTATCAGCTCATACTGCAGCCTCTTTTATCCACTGTATCATCCACCATGCTTTGACAACTTGCCAAAGAAGGGAAGGAGATACAGTAAAAGAGAAGGCAACATCCATGTACAGAAAGCAATGTTTTCTCGGAAATCTCAGTATGCCTTCTTCCAGAGATGTGTTAAGTAGGCAGGCATAACTTCAAAAGAATTTAAGAAATACAATTATCTACCTGGCCACTTGGCTGGCTTGGATAAACCTAGGCTTGAGTAAGTGAGGGAGAATAGAGGTGGGGTGTGCAGAAGATGAGCAACAGAATTCTTACCTATGTGGGCCAGGGAGACTTTCCAATCCCATCCGGACACACTGAGGGAGAAAATATGACATTGGCCTCTTCTCCTTGGCAAATCCTTGTTTATCCATCCTCTCGTCTTTGCCCGTGAGAATCTACTCATTTTTGAAGACAAGGTTAATATATATAATTCCTTCAATATACTCTTATTTAACTCCATTTGGAAAAATAATTTCATTTTATGCACTTCTGTAACAATTTATATTTCTATTAGGACAATTATTTACTTAATAAACCATGGAAAACGTTGTTATTGTCTAGCAAATATTCTGGACATTAGAACATTTACAAAGCCATTTAAACAAATAATTAAATGACTCAATCTCCAAAAAGTCAGGGATGCCACAGAAAGAGGGATGCACGCATGCATATATGTGTGTGTGTGTGCGTATGTGTAGTGTGTGTGTATGTGCGTGTGTGTATGTGTGTATCTGTATATGTGTGTATGTATGTGTATGTGTAGCGTGCATGTGTGTGTTGTGTATGTGCATGCGTATGTGTCTGAATGTGTTTGTATATATGTGTGTACACGTGCATGTGTGTGTGTGTGTGTGTGTGTGTGTGAAGTACTACTCCTTCTGGGAAAGGTGAGAAGCCTGGCATGACTGGGTAATTTTATTCAAAGAGGTGGTGGGGTCTAGGGTGCTTTGGTTGCTTACCTATGGCTGTGACCTGCTGAGCCCTGTGTGTCCTGCTGAGCCATGCATCTTCCTGAAGCAGTGAAGCACCACTGGAGGCTTAGCATTGGGATAAAAACAGGAGATCATTCTTAGAGATAATTTGAAGGGGGAAAAATCTTCAGACAAAAGGATCCACTTGGAAATTATTGCAATATCTCTGTGAGGATTGATGAAAGAATTAACTAAAATGTGACAGAAAGAATGAAGAAGATCTGGTCAAGAATTACAAGTCATCATATTTTGAGGACGTTATTGTTGACTATATTAATGTCTGTTTTCCTCACGACATTATAAGGGGCCAATGGCAGAACATAATGTATGCTTTTTTTTAACTCTATAACATTATGCATATATAGAATATGTTTGCCATTTGACTGAATTTATTCTAATTCAATTTATTTTTTCTATTGAATGATATGGGCAATTTAAGTCATAAACACAAATAAACATATATCTTTCATCAGTATTTAAACTATAATACACTGCAGTGCAGAACTCAAATCAGTGACTTAAGAGTGATCAGGGATTCAAATGCAATTCACATCATATAAAAACTGGCTAAATTAAATGTAACAGCAGACCTGATGGGCTCCATTCCAGCTCTTTCTCCAGATGGTTTGTTCCTGTATATGTAGAGAGATGAAAATGAGAAGTGATTATCTTACTAGACTGGTGTCTCTATGCCAAACAGAATTATTTACAATTTTTTGAGATCAATAAAGAACATTATCACTCAAAGAAGAAAAGCCTTCTTTTTTATCGTTTATTTTTTGGGGGCATACAGAGTCTCTCTTTGTCATCCAGGCTGAAGTGCAGTGGTGTGATCTCGGCTCACTGCAACCTCAGCTTCCCGGGTTCAAGTGACTTTCCTGCCTCAGCCTCCCGAGTAGCTGGGATTACAGGTGCCCACCACCATGCTCAGCTAATTTTTGTATTTTTACTAGACACAGGGTTTCGACATGTCAGCCAGGCTGTCTTGAATTTGTGAATGAGACTTGTCTGAAGACAATTCTAGACGAAGTTTTGAAGGAACAGTGGTGACTTCCACCTGTCTATCTTCCTCCTAAACAGCCCTTGCAAGTTTGCAGTCAAACTAACCCTCTACAATGAGGTTCCCTACCATGACCTGTTATCTATTTCCTCTCAGAATAAAATTACTATTCAACTAAAATTTTTGCACCTGCATTGATAACCAATGTTGAAAGAAATAGAACTGCAAGAAGGAAAGCCTTTTGTCTTAGTCCAGGCGTGAAATCTCATTAATATTGCATGTGCCATGGGGAAATGTCTGGTTCTATAGAATGCTAACTCTAACTCAGGCTACAAGGTTAATGTGTTTATTTAACTTAGTGTTTTCAGGCTCATTAGACAGTGTTTAGGCATTATGTATTATAATTATTAATCATATCTCAATGGAGGAAAGAGCTGTTTTCCACCAAATGTATCTAAATTAGCATTCATCTTAGTCTCTATTAAGGTTACCAGTGGAGAATCTAGTGATGTACTAAAAAAGATTATGTGTATGGTTACTATGTGTCTCAATCGATATCTGCATAAGGTTTTTATAATAATTTTTCCAAATGGTTTAGAAAAGAAAAGCACTTACATTTATTTAATTATCAAGTTCTAACTCGAAATTACAATAATAACTGAATTCTGTGAAAAAATATTGATTTTATGCTTTATCGGATCCAGTAAGCAGAGAATATCATAAAAATTCAATGCAGGCTTATTTTTCCAGCTTGCATTTAAAGATTCACAAACTTTAAAGGATATTCATCATCTGTCTTCTTGGGCATTTATGTTCCAATCTATAGCAGTATAATCTCCTTAGGAGTTTGGACTCATATTTTTCTCTTAGAACTTTTACTGAAACAGGCCTGCTTTATCACTGAGCTTGAATCTTAATAGTTTTTCTTTCAAATACTAACCATGGGTTATTAACTTAAATGTTCCCTTTGTGGCTCTTTCAATGAGGCCTTATAGGTATGATTTGTAATTATATCATAGGTTGTTAAGGCTTTTATTTGAGAAATACCATAAAATAATTCAAGCTTCACATCTTAAGTTTAATGTAAAACATCAGAGGGAAAGGTAACAAATGTATTAATCAAACTTATTCTTTAAACAAATTTGTGAAAGAGAAAATGTGTTTAAAGCATAATGTTTTAGTGAAAGAGAAGTAAATTCAGGAATAAGTCTGATAGTTTTATATTACAGATTATCTACTCACTATGTAATCACTTTAATTAAGCCACTTTTTATCCAAATTTGCTTTCCTTCTTTATTTTGTAATGATAACAAAATATGCATATCTTGTATGAGGGTTAAACAAAACACATAAATAAGTCATATGCATTTTTATATAAATCTAGCATTGTATAAGATGTTTAGGGGTTATTTAATAAGAAGACAAACAATACTTTTAATATAAATATAATTAGATGATATTTTTCTGTTCTTTATAGATAGAAATAAACTTTTTAAATCTTGGAGGCATAATAGAATCTAAAATTTTATCCTTGTTCTGAAGGAAACAGTACATCTCCTCCCAGGCATGTCTTCTGCATTTTATCATACACTATACAACCATCCAAAGTTAGAATTATATTCAAATGTTTTACCCCCAAAAATGCACAAGCAAGAGTCTACTTCAGCTAAGATGAGGCAACAGGGATTGGATTTGCTTTTTTTTCTGAAATAACTGAAAAATACTGCATGAAGCAATAAAATTAGAGTTACTGGACATCAGGCAGTGAGGGGCAGTGGCTCCTGAGAGATGGGAAGCAGATGAGGTGAGCCCTATGGTTGCCCAAGCTTAATGCTCAGAGAGAGTTTACCCAGAAGGGCCCCAGAAGTGAAGAAATTAGCACTTGGCTAAATACTGTTCTAGTTCTATCTACCAAAGCTTAATGGCAAAACCTGGTAGAGGTTTACTACATCTAAGTCACTTAACTGCATCCCAGAAAAAAGGTCTAGAATATTTGGTAGAATACAGAAATATCCAACATCACCAAGGTCAAGTACACAAGGTCTGACATACAAACATCTCAGAAGGCATTTTTTTCTTTTCTTTTCTTTTCTTTTCTTTTTTTTTTTTTTTTTTGGAGACAGAGTCTCGCTCTGTCACCCAGGCTGGAGTGCGGTGCTGTGATCTCGGCTCACTGCAGCCTCTGCCTCCTGGGTTCAAGTGATTCTCCTGCCTCAGCCTCCCGAGTAGCTGGGACTACAGGTGCATGCCGCCACACCCAGGTAGTTTTTTGTATTTTAGTAGAGATGGGGTTTCACAGTGTTGCCCAGGCTGGTCTCGAACTCCTGAGCTCAGGCAATCTGCCCGCCTCGGCCTCCCGAAGTGCTGGGATTACAGGCGTGAACCACTGCACCCGGCTGAAGACATTTTTAAAAGGCAGGAAAATATGACCCATAATTAAAATAATAACCAATCACTCAAAATCATCCCCAAAGTGACTTTGATAATAGAATAGTAGATTAGCTCATTAAGTTGAAGTCGTTTTGTAACTGCATTTTATAAGTTCAACAGCCTAGAGAAAGCATTGAGCATATGGAAACCTGGAAGAGATAAAATGTTGCCAACCCTACCCTAATGGGTAAGGAAAACCACTCTCTATATCCCAGTTCTATCAATGGTGAAGAATTCTACTCTAGAAAGCAACTTGAGATAGTATTTTGTCATGTCCTTGGAGTCTTTATTTTTTCAAAACAAAAGCATATCTTTAAACAATATCTTTATGGAAATAGCTTTAGCTGATTGTCAGATCTTTTTACAAACTCATAAGCCTTCAATTCAAAATGTGTAATATATGCATAGTTGTATTAGAAAAAGAAGAAAGAGAGAAAAACACAGAGAAACTATCTGAAGTACTAATGGTAGAGTATTGTCAACAATTAATGACAGGAACTAAACCACAAATCCAGGACAGAGAACAACAAGTAGTGTAAGTCCTGAAATAAGGATACCTACTTCTCACATCAAAACTGCAGAAAGCAAGAGACAAAAGTGAAGTCTAGAAGGAAATTGGGGTGGAGATAGGGATAGGGAGATACCTTCACTAAAAATGAGCAAAGATAAGAAGTACAGCAAACTTCTCATTGGAAGACATGGAATCAAAAAGACAGTGCAGTGAAACATTTAAAGTGAACAAAAAATAACCCATCAGCCTTGAATTCTACCTTGAGCAAAATCATCTCATGAAAGAGAAGAAAAATACACTTTCCAAGGCAAACAAAAATAAGAGAACTCAGTTTCACCATCAGACCTCTTTCACAAAAAATGTTAAAAGCAGTTTTCCAGGCAGAAAATAAATATAAAATAGGTCAGAAATTCCAATCTTTATAACAAAGAAAATACTTCAAAGAAAGAATAAGTAAAAGTAAAATAAAATATTTATTTTTCCACTTATAATTGACTAAAAGAAAATGGTATAAATATAAAAATAATGGTGTATTGTAACATAAATATGCGAAATGAGTGACAGCAATGTCATAAAAGGGAAGAGGGAGGACAGGAGAATGCTTACAAAGTCCCTGCACTACGCAGGAAGTGATATGACGCTACTTGAAACATGACTTACATTAATTAAAGAATCTATACTGGAAAATTTAGGGTAACTGGCAAAAATTAAAAAGAAATATAATTGATATGCTGAGAGGAGATAAAATGAAATCATATAAAATGCTCAATAATAACCAGAAAAGACAGGAAAGGGGGGAGCACAGAACACAGGCAATGAATAGGAAAGAGTTACTAATATGGCTGATATCGACCTACCTACAGCAACTGTCACCTTCAGTGTGAATAGTTTAAATACAGCAATTAAAAGAATGATCAGAAGAAATAAAAAGACCAAAACCTAACTCTATGTTATCTAGAGGAAACCCATTGAAAATACACAGGCTCAGACAGGGTAAAGAAGAGGGAAAGAAGAAGATACAGCAGGCAAACACCAGTCAAAGAAAGGTGGCAAAGCTGCATTAATTTTAGACGAAAAAAAAAAAAAAACTTCAGAACAAGGAAGATTAAAAGAAATAAATGAGGACATAACAGAATGATAAGAAAGTCAATGCTTCAGGAAAGGCAGAGCTCACATCTTAAGGGTGAGGGATGGATGCTTCACCAACAGGACCAGGAACAAAGCTGTGATGTCTTCATTCACCACTCACATCCAGCAGGTACCAGAAGAACCAGCCAATTAAGAGAAAAGGAAACGAGAAGACAAGAGAGGAGAAGGAAAATAAACAGATTCAAAAGGAAGAAATAAAACTGTCTTCATTGTAAATGACAAAATTGATTATGGAGAAAATCCCAAACACTGTCCCCAAAACTCTTGGGACTAGTAAGTGAGCAGTGAGGTCATGGGATAAAAAGTTAATATACAAAAGCCAAGTGCCTACCTGTATACCAGCAGTAAGTCATTAGAATTTAAAATGTAAAAACTTACGATAGCACCAAAAGATAAATATTTACATATGAATCTAATGACTATGCACAGATCTGTATGTGGAAAACCACAGAACTCTGATAAAAGATTGAAAAATAATCCCTAAATAACTAGAGAGGTATTCCACGTTCATGGATTGTAAAGATTCTATACTATTATCAAATCTCCCCAATCTGATCTACAGAGTCAGCCCAATCTCAGCCTAAATCCCAGCATGGTATTTCATAGATATCAAGAAACTGATTCTAAAGTATATATGGAAGGCAAAAGACCTGGAGTAGCCACAAGATTCTGAAGCAGAACAAATTCCAAGACCATCACTACCACACTTCAACACTTTGTATGAAGCTACCATAATCAAATCAGCACCATATTGGACATAGATCTATGGGACAGAACAGAGAACCCAGAAGCAGAGCCACACAAAGGTAGTCTACTGATTATTCAAAAAAGGAGCCAAGCAATTTAGTTGAGAAAATGCAGTGTTTAAGCAAATGGTCCTGGAACATTCCGGCATCCAAAAGAGGAGAAATGACCTCAATTAAACACAGACCTTATGCTTTCCACAGAAATTAACTTAAAATGAAACCGAGGCCTAGCACAGTGGCTCACGCCTATAATCCAAACACTTTGGGAGCCTGAGGCGGGTGGATAACTTAAAGTCAGGAGTCCGAGACCAGCCTGGCCAACATGGTGAAACCACTGTTTCTACTAAAAATACGAAAATTAGCCAGCCATGGTGGTGCATGCTTGTAATCCCAGCTACTTGAGAGGCTGAGGTGGGAGGAATGCTTGAACCTGGGAGGCAGATGTTGCTGTGAGCCAAGATTGCCCCAGTGCACTCTAGCCAGGGTGACAGAGCAAGATTCCGTATCAAAAATAAATAAATAAATAAATAAATAAATAAATAAATAAATAAAGGAACTTAGATGGGAATGTGCAAGGAACAATTATAAAACTACTAGAAGAAAACATAGGAGAAAAATTAGGTGCTGTTGGATTTGGTGATGCATTTTTAGATACAACACCAAAAGCACAATTCATCAAAGTAAAAATTAAAAATTTTTGTTTTTTGAAAGATACTGTTAAGAGAATAAAAAGACAAATCAAAGACTGGGAAAATATTTGAAAACACATTTATATCTGCTAAAGTACTTATTTCTAAAATACACAAAAATTATTTCAACCAGTAAGAAAACGACTCAATGAAAAAATGGACAATAGTTCTAAACAAGCACCTCACTGAAGAAAATACACTAATGGCAAATAAATATATGAAAAGATGTCCAACATCATTTGTCATCTGGGAATTGCACATTAAAATAACAATGGAATACTACAATGTACAGGATGACTAAAATCCTCAAAGCTGGCAATAACTAAAGCTGGAAATCCTATGAAACAATAGGGATTCTCATTCACTGCAGCTGAGATTGGAAGTGTTACAGCTACTTTGGAAGACAGCTTCACAAATTTGTTACAAAGCTAAATATAGTCTTCTCTTAGAACCCAGCAACTGTGTCCCTAGGTATTTACCCAACTGATTTGAAAACTTCTGTTCGTGAAAAACATTATTTTTAGCAGCTTCATTCATTATCTCCACAAACTGGAAGCAATCAAGATGTTCTTAAATTAGTGAATAAATAAACACATTATAGTATATCAATGCAATGAATAGTATTCAATAATAAAAGTATTATTAGATATCTGGCCAAAAAAATATGAATGACTCTTCAGTGCATATTGCTAGATGAAAAGCAGCCTAATAAGGCCATATACTGTGTGACTCCAGTTAGATAACCTTTTGGCAGAACTATGAAGATGGAAAAGGAAGGCCTATGGAGTCAGTAAATGTGGGCTGAGCATAATCCTTTCCTCCCAGATTACAGTAGAAAAGTTAAAAAAAAAAAGGAACTTTACATAGGAGAAACCCAACAAGTACCATCTCAGCCAGGTGCTCACGTTTGACGTCAAAAATGGCAAAGTTGTGATGATGGCATGTACACGCAATATGGTTTCATGAAAATGGCACTTTACTTCTGTAATTTTGCTCCCAGGCATTCCTGACCCTGTCGAGTCATGAGGAAAAACCTCAGATAAATCCCAACTGAAGCATATTCCACAAAAGTCCTGACCAGTACTCCCTCCCCGAAACTGACAATGTCATGAAAAATAAAGAGTCTGGAAAACTGTCATGGCCAAGAAGAGCCTAGGGAGACACAAGGATTAAATGTAATGTGGATTAAATGGATCCTGCTTATGAGATTGTGGGAAAGGGACAGGACTCCCCATAAAAAATAGGTAAACCTGATTAAAGGGTAGGCTTTAGTTAATTAATAAAAATCAACCTTGGTCTATTCATCAGAACAAATGTACCACATGAAGTTAAGTTATTATTAATAGGGGAAGCTGAGTGTGTAATATAGGGGAAGTCTCTGTATTGTCTGTACTTTTTCTGCAAATTTAAAACTTTTATAATTTTAAAATCTTTATTTAAATTTTTTAATTAAAAAAACAACTACAGAGCAAAACAGATTCAGGATTATCTAATTTCCTTGGTAAAACCTGGAGTATCAAAATACACATTTTGATTCAGTTGTAAAATATCTCTTCTGTTTTATAAAATAACTTACACCATCTGCTAAGTTCCAAAGTGCTTAAGAATGCAAACTAAATCTTACCACATCTAAACACTGTAATTGCCCCAAAGTTTGGAAATATAACACCTCTATGAATAACTTGCCTCTTAATTGGCTGATGAACATTTATTTTGTCACTGAATGTTTATTTTTATATGTGACATATGATGACTTTATCCACACGTCAGTGAGTCCTGTATGCTGGCTGCCAGAATGCCACAATCAGGGGAGACTTAGAATTGGAAGTTGTGGACCAGGCTTGGTGGCTCACGCCTGTAATCCCAGCACTTTGGGAGGCCGAGGTGGGTGGATTACCTGAGGTCAGGAGTTCGAGACCAGCCTGACCAACATTGTAAAACCCCACCTCTACTAAAAGTACAAAAATTAGCCAGATTTGGTGGTAGGCACCTGTAATCCCAGCTACTCTGGAGGCTGAGGCAGGAGAATGGCTTGAACCCGGGAGGCGGAGACTGCGGTGAGCCAAGATTGTGCCACTGCACTCCAGCCTGGGCGACAAGAGCAAGATTCTGTCTCAAAAAAAAAAAAAAAAAAAAAAAGAATTGGGAGTTGTGAGTTTATATTCTGGGTCTGCCACTTACAATTATGTTATTCTTGAATGAATGTCTTAAAATATTTATATTTTAGTTTCTTCTTCTGTAAATTTTAAATAGTGATATTTGCACAGATCGATTGGACATTTATTTGAGGTAGTGCATAATAATTGAAAATTTGAATTTTAAATATTACGATTAATATTAAACATTCAATTTAATCTGGGGAAAAATCTGATCCTCTTCTCTGTTTGTGTACCCTCCCCTTGAGCTTCTGTGATATTGGTCGGGATCACAGATAAGTGAAGAACTGATGTCAGAATGGTAGGTCAGTTATATTTCAAAGAAGACACTGCTAGCTGGAGAAAAGCGTAGTTCCAGAAAGTAGGAAGTGGGTGCAGCATCCAAGGGCATGGAGGGGGAACTCAGGGGATAGAGAGAAGAGGGGGCAAAGAGGAGAAATCTGCAGCTCATTGGGAAGCACCCCTCATTCATCAGAGAGAACGATGAATCACTGAGCAGACTTTTCTCTAGGAAGCACAGTTCTACCTTCTGGAAGTAGCCATGGTTTTGTTTGTTTGTTTCCTGTGTCGTGGCTCAGGGAATCAGAGATTCTTATTTAATAATAATAATTTTAAAAAGCTTTCAGGATTTGGCACAATTTCTGGTTAAATTAGCTAGAAAAAGGAAATACCGAAGAACAGGGGCCTGCTCATTCCCGGCATGCTGTGCGTCTCCTCTGGAAGGACTGGGCGTGCCCGGCGTGCTGTGCGTCCCCTCCGGAAGGACTGGGCGTGCCCGGCGTGCTGTGCGTCTCCTCCGGAAGGACTGGGCGTGCCCGGCGTGCTGTGCGTCCCCTCCGGAAGGACTGGGCGTGCCCGGCGTGCTGTGCGTCTCCTCTGGAAGGACTGGGCGTGCCCGGCGTGCTGTGCGTCCCCTCCGGAAGGACTGGGCATGCAGTCTGTAGAGTCCGTCCACACGAAGAAGACTCCCATCCACACCTTCCAGGTGGACCACCTGCTACATGGAGTTAGAAGCCAGGAATCACGTGACTGCCCGCCCAATCGTGACCCATCACAGGCTCTGTGCACAAGGCGAGTGGTATTGAATGAAGCTCACCTCATTTCATTCTTGTGCATACATATAAGGCCAGGAGTGAGTTGACTAGACAGGTGTGTTGATTGTAAGCCATCCACAATTCCTAGGAAGAGATATTTTGCATGCATACATGTGCTTATTACTTATCGACAGTGGGACCGTGGTCCCCACAGAGACTCTTTGGTGGTGAGTGGTCTGCTGCTCACTCAGCAGACACCAATGCCACGTGCAAAACAGCCTCTGATCAATTCACTGGCTTTATTTAACACGCATCAGAAAGCCTGGGGCCTAATTGTGCTGCTCCCAGGCAAGCGTGTCTTTGGTGGCCATTTTTCTAACTGAGGAAATAAAAAGACATTTTTTTTTTCTCCTCCCACAGAATTCGTCTAAGGTTTCCAAAAGAAGCATCAGCCCCAGTCAGAGAAACCCCAATGTCCCAGTCCCTCGTAGGAAGGCAGTGTGTGTGTGCCCCTTAAGGAGACCACCATTGCAAAATTATGACAGAAACAGTGAAAGAGCTCTAACTTAGCTTACTCCGTCTTGCTTCTTACCTCCAAGCTGTCCTCGTTCCTTCCTGGGTATAGGCTGAACTAACTTTGGGAGGAACTTAGTTTATAGTTTAAAACAAAGACAATAATAGCCCTTTCCCAAAGCAAACCTCCTTCTTGCCTGGGGACTAGACCGCTTTTGTAGGACCTACAAATTAGCCGCAAGATTAGTAATTATGGTTTAGGCGTCATGTAGCTGGAGGCTACAAGATTCTGACCCTCCCTAAAGCGCTCCTAAGATCCGTGCTTGAGGTATTTTACAGACCCTGCACTTGATGGATCAGCTGGCACCACCCAGACCTGCAAACTGGCTCATCCGTTGTGGCCCCCACCCAGGAACTGACTCTGCACGAGAAAACAGCTTCGGATCCCTATGATTTCATCTCTGACCAAACCAATCAGCACTCTCAACTCACTGGCCTTCCCCGCCCACCAAATTATCCTTTACAACTCTGATCCCCGAATCCAGATCAGGGAATCTGATCTGAGTCATAATAAAACTCCAGTTTCCCACACAGCTGGCTGTGCATGAACTACTCTTTCTCTATTGCAATTTCCCTGTCTTGATAAATTGGCTGAGTCCAGGCAACCGGCAAGGTGAACCCACTGGGCGGCTACATTACCACGGCTCAAGGCGTTGTGCTTGGAGCCTACGTCCATGGAAGAGGAGGACTCCGTCATGGAATTGTGAATCATGTCATTTTCTGGATCAACAGAGGGTCACACTGACTACGCGGCCCTATTTTTCCTGGCTTTCTGTCTGTATTGCTGTCTTATCAGTTTTATTTTGTTTTGTTCTGTTTTACTTTGTATTATTGTTATTTGTATTACAAGAACTTTTCTAATTAGGAAGTAAATTCAATTAAGGATACTCAATGATTTTCTGTATGTCTCAAATAGCTGGCACAGTTCTTTATAAACCACAAATGGCAAATAAATATAAATATTCTTTTTTTTTTTTTTTTTTTTTGAGATGGAGTCTCGCTCTCGCCCAGGCTGTAGTGCAGTGGCGCGATCTCGGCTCACTGCAAGCTCCGCCTCCCAGGTTCACGCCATTCTCCTGCCTCAGCCTCCCGAGTAGCTGGGACTACAGGCGCCCGCCACCAAGCCCGGCTAATTTTCGTGTGTGTGTGTTTTTAGTAGAGAGGGGGTTTCACCGTGTTAGCCATGATGGTCTCGATCTCCTGACCTCGTGATCTGCCCGCCTCGGCCTCCCAAAGTGCTGGGATTACAGGCGTGAGCCACCGCCCCCTGGCCAAATAGTCTTATTTATAAATTGAGTACAAATGACTGCAACCAAGTATAGCTGTTTCATGGTTAAGATCCCAGAGATGAAAATAACTCAAAATTGAAACTCTTTTAATCAAAGGCATTGAAAGGATAAGGGAGAAAAGCAAATTCCTCACAAATGACCTCCTAAGTGGTCATGAATGAGCCTATGCTGTGACTTGCACCACAGCTATTCCTACAATACATGTCCTCTTTCTCCTGGGCAGTTGGACACGTGCAAAATAGTGCTGGTGGGCGGGTTCGAGTTCACTCAGTAGGAGCAAGCTCGGAGTGGGCGGGTTCGAGTTAACTCAGTAGGAGCAAGCTCGGAAAAGGCAAAGCTCTGACATTTGCTTTGCTTAGACAGCGAGATCTTGTCGCCCCAGACCCCTCCGTTAGTTCCTTTCTCGTAGAAAGAATGGGCTGTGCAGCTGCTCAGGAGCTCATCCTGTCCAGGCTGAAGGCAGCAACGGTGCACGTGCGGGCTCCAGGCTTTCAGCCATCAACATTGCTAAGGCGCATTTTTGATCAGTGAGACCTGTCATGCTTTTAATACCGCTGGGCAATGCTGGGTTATGCAGGTAGCGACCTGCTGAGTGCTGCAAAGAGTTTATGCTTTGGGTCATTGTTCCAAGAGTGAAGTTAGAAAACAGGAGCTGTGCAAAGGATGCTGCAAGGATCAGCCGTCCATGCAACCCCAGTCATGGGAGCTTGAGGCACAAGGAGGAGGACACAGGACGCTTCGAGGATCAGCCGTCCATGCAACCCCAGTCACGGGAGCTTGAGGCACAGGGGGGACCTTCCATTTGCTGTGAGTCGCTTGGAGAGAAGGAACAGGGACTCACGTTAGGGGTGAGGGCGTTTGCCCAGGGGTGTCTGTGAGGAGGTGACCTTGTCAAGGAGCAGCTGCTTTTCTCAGCCGCCAACTCCTCATGGCATCTTCCCTCCTGCGGGGAGATGTTTGCCAATGGACAAACTCCACATTGCTCTCTCCCACTTCCTGCTCAGAGTAGGCAGGGTCCATAGAGCTTGTTATTAACCAGGAAACTGTATTTTCTCTCTTCTTACTCTAAGTAATTGAAAGAATGACCACGCAGAGAAGAGATGTCTCTAAAATTCACTTCAATAGTGCTCAGTTCAAACTAAATTCACTTCAAACTCTTCCAGGCACAGACATTTAAAGTCATTTTTATTGAGGCGTGATTTGGGGTGTCCTGATAAGAAGAGGAGCTGAGGACACAGACATGTCCAGCGGGACCTTGGGAGGACATAGAGGGAAGACGCCTTCTGCAAACCACTGAGAGAGGCCTCGAGGAACCAGCCCTGGCCGACACCTTGATATGGGACTTCCAGCCTCCAGGACGGTGAGGAAACACGTTTCTGTTGTTTGAGCCACCCAGACTCTCGTGTTTTTTTATGGTACCCTTAGGCAATCAATACGGCATAGTTTAAAAAGGTAAATGGTATCAAGATGTATATAACACAAAGGCAAGTACCCAACCCTCCTCTGTCACCCCTCAGACGATGCTAGTGCTGGGATTACAGGCATGAGCCACTGCGCTTGGCCCTGGAATTTACCTTTATGTATCATTTCCTCTATCAATTACTCATTAATAAACCTTTTCTATTGCTATTTATATGATGCAAAAGGGAGACTTACAGTATCTCACTCCCTGCTTCTTAACCTCAATCACGTTAACATAGTGTGAGGTCACCTCAGTCTAATCACTTCTCATTTGATCGGATACTGACAATTTAACTATGGATTTCTCTCGCCCAAGCAGCACACTGCGCACCCTTGGTTTTTAAATGAGCAATAATGTAAGGCTTAAATATTGTATGATATTTTTATTTATTGCAATCGTTTTTTCTTAGAAGAGTGAGCAAAGTGAAAACCAAGAGATATATTTTGTTGCTTTTGCACCTATTTCAATTTCAGATAATTAACTTTTGTGCTATTAAATATCATTCTTCCAAGTAGCAGTTTCATTCTGTTTTGAATGAAATAGAGCTGGATCTTAGAATAACAGAGATGTTCTTAGAATAATATAGATGGATCTACATCTTACCCATTAAGCCCTCATTCTGCAGGTAAAACACTTAGTCCAAACAGATGCAGGGACCTGCCAATGGGATATAAACGTAACATCCATGCTTGAGAATGGATTCTTTCACTCTCATCCCTTTGCACAGAAGACTCCAGGCAGAAAAATTATACAGACCACATTTATTCTACTTCTTCCATTGTTCCAAAAGTTGATACTTGGGATCCATTGAGGTGAGTTTATTTTCCTTACACAGAAATAGATTGCATGCATGCACTTGGCAAAACCTGTAGGTTTCACTTCAGAAACATTAAGTTCCAAAAAGGCTACATCAGCCCCTGCTTTACCCCTGAGTTCCGTGCACTACCTGCTCGTGTCTCCAAATACGGCAACAGGTGCTTTCCTCTTTGAGATATGATGTATTAAATATAAAACTTTAGATACAAATACAGCCAGTGACACGGTATTTTATATATTAAGATTTATTTCCTTAACCCTATTACAATGTCAACATTGCAAGTTTCCAGCCTCTTTTAGCGTAAAGGTTAACCATCTCCCAGGGGAGTTGACACAAGGTTGTTCCCTATGTCCATTAAGACTTATTTTCTCAATTTAAGCACTTATTAAATTTCCTGAGCTTTCATTACTTTTTAATGAAAAATCTTTGGGAATGCAGTTTAAACTCCCTCCCCCCACCACACACACACACACACACACACACACACGTAGGTGGTTTAGTGTCTAGTGGGAGAATGTCATTCAGTGAGGGATTTTTTGGAGAAATACACATTAGGACCCTGTTTGGAGAGTTGATTGTTCTAAGGCAGGGAACAGAGACTTCCTCTGCTGAAGAGGAGAGGTGGGCAATGTGATGGCTTGCGTTAAGCTGGGAGACCTGGGGCTTCACAGTCCTGTTCTTCCTCATAATTCGTCCCACCAAACATTTCTTGAAACCCCTTTACCCACCCTGTGTGCTCTTATCTAACCTTCACTGGACCTTCATTCTCACCTCTGCTCAGCTTTTTATTTTGGGAGTGGGAGGGGCCAGGTATGTTTGCTTTCTTCTTCCTCTCCATTTCCTCTTTCTTTTTCTGTATACATTTCTTGAATTTCATTATCCTTGGATAGGCTGCATAATAGAGATGTTTCTGCAAAAATACATTTATTTATTTTTTAGTATTTCTTTTTTATTTTATTTTTTTTTTTTTGAGAAAGAGTCTCACTCTGTTGTCTAGGCTAGAGTGAAGTGGTGTGATTTCAGCTCACTGCAGCCTCCGTCTCCTGGGTTGAAGCAATTCTCCTGCCTCAGCCTCTC
The DNA here is from genome assembly GCF_000001405.40 of Homo sapiens. Lineage (NCBI taxonomy): Eukaryota > Metazoa > Chordata > Mammalia > Primates > Hominidae > Homo > Homo sapiens. The sequence continues at coordinate 2,320,611 of NC_000010.11, forward strand.
AAGTAGCTGGAACTGAGCATGTGTGCCACAATGCCTGGCTATTTTTTTGTATTTTCAGTAGAGACAGGTTTTCTCTGTGTTGGCCAGGATGGTCTCAAACTCCTGGCCTCAAGTGATCCACCTGCCTTGGCCTCTCAAAGTACTGGGATTACAGACGTGAGCCACCATGCCTGGCCAATACATTACTTAATACAAACAGATTCTGCTAATAGTGAAGTGAGATGTGTGTAAGGAAGAGAGGAAGGGGAGACAAATTTAAATCAGTTAAAATCTCTCACTTAAAAATTTCAGAAAAAAATTAATTCTCTCAATTTATGTGAATTTAAAGATGCTGGACTTGGTTTATCAAATTAGACATAGGTATGATACATGTACAAATAAGCACTACTTGGTAGGTTGACGGAAAAAAAGATGAAAGCCAATCAGATTTTACACAAATAAAAAGAAAGAAAAAATGTTTGATGTCTTCTTATTTTTGAGTTGCTGCCTTGCTCCCTCACCCAGGCTGGAGTGCAGCGGTGCGATCATAGCTCACAGCAACCTCAAACTCGTGGGTTTAAGCGATCCTCCTGCCTCAGCCGCCCAAGTAGCTAGGACTACAGGCATGCACCACCATGCCTGGCTACTTTTTAAAACTTTTTTGTAAAGATGGGGTTTCTCTCTGTTACCCAGGCTCGTCTTAAACTTGTGGCCTCAGGAGATCCAACAACCGTGACCACCCAAAGTTCTGGGATTACAGACATGAGGCTTTGCACCAGGCCTGCTTCATGCCTTAATTTCAATATCGGCCCTACAGTTTCCTTGGCCAATAATTTTCTCCTACATAGTAGGAAATTTATGACTGTGTTTTCCTCTTAATAAAAGTAAGATCTTAATTTTTATTTCCAACATGTGGGTTTTTACTGAATAGAATTTATGAAATGCAAAACATAATTGATTATAAGTGCATTAGATCCTAATGCCATTTCAACAAGCAAAGTGTGGAAACCTGTGCAGATTGTTTTGTAAGTACAGGCTCACCCTGTAGCTATTGCAGGATCACCACCACACCACGCACGTGGCAGTAAAGAGAGCCATGAAATTGATTGGCTTCCAGTGTGTATAAAAGGTATATTTACTTATACAGTAGCCTATAAAGTATGTAATAGCATTATGTCTAAAAAACAATATGCATACCTTAATCAAAAAATAATTTATTGCCAAAAAATGCTAAGAATGATCTAAGCCTTCAATAAGTCATCATTGTAATCTTGCCAGGAGGGAATCTTGTCTCATGTTGATGGCTGCTGACTGATTGGGGTGGTGGTTGCTGAAGATTGTGGTTGCTGTGAAAATATCTTAAAATAAGACAACAATGAAATTGGCCTCATTGATGAACTCTTCTCTTCATGAAATATTTCTTTGTAGCATGTGATGCTTTTGAAGCGGCATCGTCTTCTGGGGCAAATACCCGAGGTTCATTGTCTCAGGCCAAGGAAATCAAGGATGTGGACACACAAGAAGTGAGTTTAAGAGTGTAGGTTCAGGCCGGGAGTGGTGGCTCACGCCTGTAATCCCAGCACTTTGGGAGGCCGAGGCAGGTGGATCATGAGGTCAGGAGATCGAGACCATCCTGGCTAACATGGTGAACCCCGTCTCTACTAAAAATACAAAAAAAAAAAATTAGCCGTGCATGGTGGCGGGTGCTCGTAGTCCCAGCTACTCGGGAGGCTGAGGCAGGAGAATGGCGTGAACCCGGGAGGCGGAGCTTGCAGTGAGCCGAGATCGTGCCACTGCACTCCAGCCTGGGCGACAGAGCGAGACTCCATCTCAAAAAAAAAAAAAAAAAAGGAAAGAGAAAAGCTCTCTCTCCTGCAGAGAGAGGGCTCCTGAGTGGGTCTTCCGGTTCTGTGGTAAAATGCACAGCGTTTTAGACGATCTTGAGTAGGTGGTGTCTGATTTACATAGGGGATGAGAGATTAGTTGGACCAGGTGTGCCGTTTGCACAGTGTGTGAAGAAGCTAGCCATCCCACCCTCATCTTTTATTATGCAGATGCGGTCTCTACCTGGCCTCCCCCATGTTGACTGCTTTTGTACTGCACCCATGGAGACAAAGAAAAGACAAAGAAGACGGAACCTCCATGTTGAATATACCTGGTTCCAGGTATCCGTATTCTATTGGCAGGGCTTCCAGCACTTACCTAGGCAAGCTTCCAGCTTGCTTATCTATGTCTGCAGCCCGGTTTTACAGCTGCTTTTTGGGAGCAGCTTTTTATTAAAAGGAAACCTTACAGAGGACTCTCATCCTCACTATCTGCTTAAATGATTTCTTTCTAGCTCCTGTATCACTATTTAATAGCATTTTAACCACAGTAGAACTTCTTTCAGAAGCAGAGTCAATCCTCTCCAATCCTGCCACCACTTTATTAGCTAAGTTAATGCAATATTTAAATTCTTTGTTGACATTTCAACACTGTTCACAACATCTTCACCAGGAATATATTCCATCTCAAAAAACAAACAAACAAAAAAAATTTGTGATTATTCATAAGAAGCAACTCATCTGTTTTATCATGTTTTATCAAGTTTTATCATGAGATTACAGCAATTCAGTCATATCTTTAGGCTCTACTTCTAATTATACTTCTCTTTCTATTTCCACTGCATGGGCAGTTACTTTCTCCACTGAAGTCTTGAACCCCTTAAAGTCATATTTCTTCCAAACTCATGTTAATGTTGATATTTTTACCTCTTCCCATGAATTACAAATATTCTTAATGGCATCTAAAACGGTGAATCATTTCCAGAAGCTTTCCAATTTGCTTTATACTGATCCATCAGAGGAATCACTATTTATAGAACTATAGCCTTATAAAATGTATCTTTTAAATAATAAGAGTTGGAAATGAAAATTACTCCTTGATCCCTGGGCTGCAAAAGGGATGTTGTGTTAGCAGGCATGAAAACGACATTCATCTTGGAGCTCTTGGGTGAACAGGTGCATTGTCAGCAGACAGTCATATTTTTAAAGGACTCTCTTTTTTGAGCAGTAGGTCTCAATAGTGAGCTTAAAATATTCAGTAAATCATTCTATAAACAGATGTGCTATCATCCTGGCTTTGTTGTTCCATTTATAGAGCACAGGCAGAGTAGATTTAGCACAAATCTTTTTCTTTCTTTCTTTTTTTTTTTTTTTTTTTTGAGATGGAGGCTCGCCCTGTCACCCAGGCTGGAGTGCAGTGGCACAATCTCAGCTCACTGCAGCCTCCACCTCCCAGGTTCAAACAATTCTCCAGCCTCAGGCTCCCAAGTAGCTGGGACTACAGGCATATGCCACTACATCTGGCTAATTTTTGTATTTTTAGTAGAGATGAGGTTTTGTCATGTTGATCAGGCTGGCCTCAAACTCCTGACTACTCAAGTGATCAGCCTGCCTCAGCTGGGATTATAGGCATGAGCCACTGCACCTGGCCAATTTCACATAATTCTTAGGGGCTCTAGGATTTTCAGAATGGTAAATGAGCATTGGCCTCAACTTAAAGTCACCAGCTGCACTAGCCCCTTAACGGGGGAGTCAGCTCATCCTTTGAAGCTTTGAAAACAGGTATTGACTTCTCCAGCTATGGCAGTCCTAGATGGCATCTTCTTCCAATAGCAGGCTGTTTCGTTTCCACTGAAGATCTGTTGTTAGTGTAGTCATCAATGATCTCAGCCACACCTTCTGCATAACTTGCTATGGCTTCTCCCTCAGCACTTGCTGCTTTATCTTGCATTTTTATGTTACGGAGATGACTTCTTTCCTTCAATCTCATGAACCAGCCTCTGCTTGCTTTAAACTTTTATTCTCCAGCTTCCTCACCTTTGATTCTTCACAGAATTAAGAGTCAGGGCCTTGCTCTGGGTTAGGCTTTGGCTTAGGGGAATCTTGTGGCTTGCCTGATCTATCCAGGCGACTCAAAGTTTCTCCACATCAGCAATTAGGCTGTTTTATTTTCTTACCTGGAAAAGCACTTTTAGTTTCCTTCAGTAGCTTTTCCTTTGCATTCACAACTTCATTAACTGTTTGGTGCAAGAGGCTTAGCTTTGGCCTCTCTTGACTTTCAACAAGCCTTCTCCACTAAACTTAATAGTTTCCAGCTTTTGATTTAAAGTAAGACGTGTGCAACTCTTCCTTTCACTTGAACACTTAGAGGCCATTGTAGGGTTAGTCATTGGCCTGAGTTTAATATTGTTCTGTCTCAGAGAAGAGTGAGGCCCTGGGGGAGGGAGCGAGCTGGGAAATAGCAGAACACACACAATCTGAAGCAGTCAGAACACACACAACATTCATTAAGTTTATTGTCTTCCAGGGCGAGGTTCAGCAATTACAATAGTGACATCAGAGATCGCTGATAACAGATCATCATCACAGATGTGATAACAAGAAAAAAATGAGATATTTTTATCATTGATGTGATGGCAAATATTGAGTATCAACTTGATTGAATTGAAGGATGCAAGGTATTATTCCTGGGTGTGTCTGTGAGGGTGTTGCCAAAGGAGGTTAACATTTGAGTTGGTGAACTGGGAAAGGCAGACCCACCCTCAGTCTGGGTGGGCACCATCTAATCAGCTGCCAGCATGGCTAGGATAAAAGCAGGCAGAGGAAGGTGGACGGACTAGACTTGTTAAGTCTTCTGGCCTCCATCTTTCTCCTGTGCTGGATGCTTCCTGCCCTCGAACATTGGACTCCAAGTTCTTCAGCTTCTGGACTCTTGGACCTACACCAGTGGTTTGCAGGGGCTCTCGGGCCTTTGACCACAGACTGAAGGCTGCACTGTCGGCTTCCCTACTTCTGAGATTTTGGAACTTGGACTGGCTTCCTTGCTCCTCAGCTTGCAGAAGGCCTATTGTGGGCCTTCACCTTGTGATCATATGAGTCAATTCTCCTTAATAAACTCCGTTTCATATATACATCTATCCGATCAGTCCTGTCCCTCTAGGGAACCCTGACTAATACAATTGTCAAAATGTGACACAGAGGCACAAAGTGAGCACCTGCTGTAGGAAAAATGGTGCTGATAGACTTGACTCAGGGTTGCCACAAAATTCAGTTTGTAAAAAACACAGTATCTGCATAATGCAATAAAAGAAGATAGGCATGCCATATTCTTCATGATTTTCATGGGAATATAGTGTATCTTTAGAGAGCACTGTCCATTTATAATAATCCTACACTTAAATAAACATTTTTCATTACCCTTTCTAAAAATAATTTTAGTAGTTCAGTTTAATTGCTATTTTATCTATTGAAGGTTCATTAATTAAACTCAATAAGTTACTTAAAAAAAAATCCTTATTGTTGATAATGCCTGAAATTAATGCACTCTGGAGTATCTGTTTACAAGATGAAACTGTCGTACTAATTATAACTAAAACAAACACTTTACCTCAAGCCTCTCACTTAGCCAAAAAGTGACCTATTATGGGAAAACACACAAACAAAGTGATAGTTACTGAGCCCAAAACTTAATAAATGGAAGTGAAGAGTTCCGAAAAAGGGCTGTATGTTACAAACGATCTTTGAAAGCAACAGTGTTAGGAATGCAATTATAACATTTGCACAGTGACTCTTTTGTTATTTAGTATCTTACGTATTTTTTCATTTGATCCAAACAATTGCCCAGCTAGGAAGTTTTTCTGAGTATGATTCTCTTTTTTTTTTAAATATCATGTAAACCAAGATTCTAGGAAAAAAAAAAAGACTCAAATCTAACATCATCATTGTGAAAGAGGTAAGACTTGAATTTGTATTTCTTATCACTTTTTTTTCATAAAACTCTTTCTGTTCCCACAGGTGGCCTTTTCTAATAACCAGTATCACAACGGGCCTTCTTAATGTGGGTTTTTAAAACCACAAACAAAAACCATTAGCTTCAAACCTTTGAAGACTACTTAAAAATAAATGCGCATAATTCTAGGGGGAATAGTCTCACCAAATAATCATTTGCAAAGCCCTTTGTAATTAAGTACAGGGGACATTACTGGGATGCAATGTTCCGTAAAGAGCTCGACTGTTGTTCTTGCAAGAATGCACCCAAACAATGATAATAAGTGAAACAATGATTGATAAAATGATAGCAATGCTCAATTTCCAAATCAGAATTTGCCTGCCAATTGATGTCGGAAAGAACATCCTTTTCTGAGAACTGGCGTCCTCTTAGAAAGGTTTTTGAAGGGCAAAGGTCTGGTCTTCATCATATCGCTCAGTTTTCTTTTTTCTTTCATTATAAGTATCCTCGTAGGATAAATTTTAATCTGAACCTAAACTAATTCCCTGTCAAACAAACTAGAAATGAAAACTTTTACAAAGGTACTAAAGGGCAACCCTTGGAACGAACTCTCTTTGGTTATGCCTAGACTAGAAAAAAGCTATTTTTATTAGGTACAGAAGTAGACCTGAGTGTTGGACTCTGGAATAGGCACCACCTTGCCCAGGCAGAGAGGAAATGAGCATGACTCTTCCTCAGTCAGTGATATTAACAAGCCGAAGGCAGCAGAAGACTGATCAAGGCAGAAGGGTGACTGGTTTATGAAAGAGCTGAACTATTTATTAGCCCACATTAATCTCACATACAAATAAATATATGTGAAAATTTAGAGTAAGAAACTTGAGGCCAGCTCCTAGATGTGCAGTTTACAGAGCAAAGTTCCACTAAAATTCTGCGTCACTCTCTGTGTGAGTCATTTATTTAATTTTTAAACAAGCATAAGGTGTCTTTGTGTTCACTCAATGTATCAGGCATTGTTTTGAACACCTAATCAAAGAAAGCAGAGATGTGATGTCTGCCCCCATAGGAGGTTATTGACCAGTTGCACTGACAGCTGAAATATCCACAAGCCTGAGACACGTCCTGGGCCACGGTCGTGGTAGGAACAGCATGCTGTGGAAACAGGCGGGTGACACACCACGTCAATCTGGACCTTTCTAAGGCTTCCTGGGGGAGGTGACACTCCGGATGGGATACAGAAGATCAAACAGAGACTATTTAAGAGTGTGAGAACAGAGACCAGGTAAGAACATGGAGAGTATGAGAATGCCAAACGCAAGGTGAGGTAGGCCTGGTGCAAATGTGCTAAGTCTTAAAAAGTTAGGGTGAACGCAGACTCCCAGGCCTCGATGAAAGCCAAGAACTCAGATCATTCATATGAATGCTAATAAAATAGGCAGGAGAGGTAAAGAGGAGGGTTCAGAAAATAAACATATTCGCATATCATCAACAACCTGATCGATCAAAAATGACTAGGAATGGTATGTATTCAATTGCTGAGGCTGGGAAGGATCATGAAATCTCAGACACGCTCATGGATTGTCATTTTACAAAAGGGCTGAATTGTGCATTTATATGCTCATAATAATATAGTAATATATAATATAATATAAAACTTGTATATATATGCTCATAAAAATGTGTAATATGTATGCTCATAATAATATAGGTAATATTACATATTACATATTACCTATATTATTACCTATACCTGTGTAATAATTGTATAATTATCACATGCATGCTCATAATGTCATATATATGCTTATAATAATATAGGTAATATATAATATAATATAATACCTGTGTAATAATTTATAATTATCATATGTATTTTCATAATAATATGTCATATATATGTTCATAATAATGTAGGTAACATAATATTATAATACCTGTGTAATAATTGTATAATTATTATATGTATGCTTATAGTAATATGTCATATATATGCTCATAATAATATAAGTAATAGATATTATAATACCTGTGTAATTGTATAATTATCATATGTATGCTCATAATAATATGCCATATATATGCTCATAATAATATAGGTAATATATAAAATTATAGTATATGCGTGTGTAATAATTCTATAATTATTATATGTGTGCTCATAATAATATATAATATATGCTCATAATAATATAGGTAATAAACACTATTATAATACACTGTTATAATACAGTTGTGCAAACATTGTATAATAAGTAATCATATATATGTTAATAATAATCTCCAAAAGTAAATATGATAATTTCCCCATCTTACATAGAATTGGAAACTAAGTCAAGAGCAGTTAAAAGACCTGCTCGATGTCACAAGGCAAGTCGCAGGGGCCCGGGGTTTGTACACAGGCAGTGTTTCTCCAGCGTCTGTGCACGTACTCACCATATCCCTCCTTCTTTCCGTGTGGATGCATGCTGCTTTTGAGCGAGAGTTTGGCATTTTTCATAAGGTCGGTTGATGTCCCTGCACCTAGCAATACCCAATCCTTCACTGCAGGGTTCAGATGGAGTCTAAATAGTTATGTATGGCTTCATTCCATCTTCCATTTTAACGTACTCATGAAGAGTCAAAGAAAAGCACCTGAGATGCGTCAGGGCCCACCGCCGGCGCTGAGGATGGAACAGTGAACACAGCAAGCCACGTCCTTCCTCCTAGGGCCCATATTCTGATGGAAGGAGTCAGACGAAAGGCAGAGAAATGCAATAGGTAAGACGTTAGAGGTGACAGCTATAAGGAAAAATAAATCAGAACAAAAGCGGTGGCTGGGACTTTCCGGGATAAACAAAACTCCAGAGGCAGAACTCAGAGGCCCTGTGGGAGAAGCCCTGCTCCGGTGCGAGCACAGCAAGGCTGCCGCGCCCCCCACTTAGCGAGGGAGGAAAGAATCACAGAGGACGAGGTCAGGGAAAGAAGGGGCCAGGGGTGAGCCCTTGTGGTCCAGGAGGTGACCCAGCGTGGCTGACTGTGACCAGCATCCTGTGGCTGCTGTGTGGAGTGTAGATTGCAAGCGTGCAAGGGTTTCGAAAGGAAGAGAGATCATTTGGAGACTCAGTCCAGGGGCAAGGGATGTCGGTTTGTGTCAGGAGGTAGCAAAGAGGTGGCAGGAGGAGTTGGGATTTTAGAAACATTTTAAAAATTGAGTCAACAGGATTTGATATTGGATTCCACATGTACTGGGATCTGTGGTGGAAAGAAAAGCATCGCAGTTTCCAGGTTTCTGTTCTGAGAGGAAGGAGGGCTGCCTATTCTGACGGAGGGAAGGGGTTGGGAGGGCAGGATTTCAGCTCTAGACCAGGCTGAGGTGTGTGTAAAACCTCCCAGGAACGTGTTCATTGGTCTCTATTTGAGTTGGGTAGAGGAGTCTCGGTTTTGTGAAAAAGGTCCAGAGTAGACATATGAGAATTCAGGGGATTGCTGGTGTATCAATGCTAACACAACCTTGAGACTGGACGTGATCTTCAAGACACGGAGGAGAAGAGAGGAGAAGCTGTCAGGACTGAACTTGGGGAATTTCACATTAAAAGTTAAAAACAAAACAGGGAGATGTGTTTTCCTGGAGGCCAAGGGCGGAAAATATAAGTGAAAGAAGAGAGTTACCAACTAGGTGAAATATTATTGAAGGTCCAGAAGGAGAAGGGCTGAGACTGGCCCATTCGTGTTACAGAAGTGGGCATTGGAGACTGACAAAGCTCGTAGCCTCAGAGTGCAGGGTGTTGAGCCAACCAGAACGAGCTTATGAGACCAGGAGACTCGGAGACAGATTTGTCTGCCAAGATGAATAAGGAAGCCCGATGGTGATGAAAAGGCAGTCAGGATCAGAGAGGATTTCAGCGTTTTATTTTTTTCTCTTCTTTTCTGTGGTTGAACTACATACATACTTTTTTAAACAAAGAAATCGCGTTTATATATATATGTGTGGGGAAGCTGTGACTCCGAATTTTTCAAATGTCATGAGTTTTGTGATCAGTGCAAGATTGAGGCACAAGATAACAGAAAATGTGTGTAAAATAGCTTTCGTATATAAATGTGTGATTATTCAGTATTAGACTCCAGGGAAATATCTAACAAATATCATAGGTATAAATGTATTCGAAGTATCTCAAATAAGATGATATATAAGTGCACATGTGTGATTTCCTTCTTTCCACTGTGCTATAGCTTAAACTAGAAATAAATCACATGGAATAAAGATTGCTTTTCACAGTCTTTAAAAAATGACTCATTTTAAAGCTTTCCTCCACTAATGTTCATTAATTAGATTTCTCACAGAGGCTGGAATCAGGTGGGAAGGGGCATTTATGTGAGTCTGTTTGAAAATATAATCATAACTCTGAATCATGATTATTGAAATTTAAGGGCCTCAAACATCCACGCAGAGGGTGAACTGTGAAATGGGAACTACCTCCCGTACCTAACTTTGAAGATGCCAGTGTTCCTTGAAGGAAATCTGTTGAGGTTAAGAATATACTTTACATTATTGTAATGAACATACCCTATAATAGATTTTAAGACCCATGTTCGATTCTGGTTTTCCAATCATTTGTCAGAAAGTACAATAGAAACAATATTCCAATTTCTTAGCTACCATGAAACACTACCACTGAGCAGTCAGTAATGAACCCTCAGCTTCACTCATGATCTAGTTTGTCTGAATATGTGCAAGAGATGACCAGATATGAATGAGAAGACGTTCATTTTTGCACATCTGAAATTCTCATAAATTCCAATAGAGCAACATGTCATCCCATAATCTTTGAAATAAGAGCCTGTATTTTGTTATTGCTATTTACTTGGTGCTAATTACACGTTTTAAAACTTGAATTGCATTTTAACAGAAAATCGAATACTGCATGTGATGATTGATAAGTGAAATCTAAACATTGGGTACTCGTGGACACGAAGAGGGGAACAACAGACGCTGTGGACAACTAGAGCGTAAAGCGAGGAGAAGGGGGAGGGTTAAAACACTACCTATGGGGTACTGTGCTCACTACCCGGGTGACGGGATCCATACCCCGAACATCGGCATCATGAAATAGACCCACGAAACGGACCTGCACGTGTGCTCCCATACCTAAAATAAAAGTGCTGGGGGTGGTGGCCCACGCCTGTAATCCTAGCACTTTGGGAGGCTGGAGGGGCGGATCACGTGAGGCCAGGAGTTTGAGACCAGCCTGGCCAACAGAGTGAAACCTCATCTCTACTAAAGATACAACAATTAGCCAGGCATGGTGGCAGCCACCTGTAATCCCAGCTACTTGGGAGGCCAAGGTGGAAGAATCACTTGAACCTGGGAGGCGAAGCTTGCAGTGAGCCAAGATCGCGGCATTGCACTCAAGCCTGGGCAACAGAAAAAAAAAGTTAAAATTTTAAAAATAGAATTAAAATAAATAAATGATACCACCCATACTTTGTGTAATAATCGAAACAAAGTGTATTGTCAAAAGGAGGAAAAGGAAGGAAAAGAAACGAGACTAGGAAGATGGGTAGTTGGCCTGTCATGCACTGTCAGCGGGAGCCTCGGCCAATTTAATGGCAGTTCCGAGAACGAGAGAAACACTCAGTTTTTCCAAGTTGAGGTCAGAGAGGAACAGTCTCTCCATACCCCACACCGTTCAGTCACTTAGCTCAGCCACCGTGGGAACAGTGCATGAATTGCGACAAGGCTGCTCAGCCAAGGCCCTCTCTGAAGATGAATCAGTGATAGACGCTGTCTTCTGGAAGCATTCCCTGCAGCTTGCATCGCGGCCCTGAGTGCGTGTCACGGCGGCACACCACTTACTACGGAACAATCTACTCCTTTATTTATTTTATTTTATTTTATGAGACAGAGTCTTGCTCTGTCATCCAGGGTGGACTGCGGTGGCGCAATCTCGGCTCACTGCAATATCCGCCTCTTGGGTTCAGGTGATTCTCCTGTCTCAGCCTCCCGAGTAGTTGGGACTACAGGCACCCACCACCATGCCCGGCTAATTTTTGTAGTTTCAGTAGAGATGGGGTTTTACCATATTGGTCAGCCTGGTCTCAAACTCATGACCTCAGGTGATCCACCCACCTCAGCCTCCCGAAGTTCTGGGATTACAGGCGTGAGCCACTGCACCTGGCAGAATTAAAGCTTGGAAATGTCCTTTAGGGTTCTGGGAGACCTGTTTTCCTGAAGATCAATGTTGATCTGAGTGAGCAGACTACTCCCCATCCTCCTTCTTTAATCCCCATGCCCGGTGCCCTCACCCTCAGCTCCCACCTCCCACTGTCTCAGTAGTTTATCTGGAATATGCAGCCTCTACTTGCTATACTTCTTCCTTGTTAGTGGGAGATTCAACATGCCATCATGTGTCCTTATTGTGTAGATACATCCCGTCATGGCCCACAAATAACACTTTCACTGAGTCCTGGGTCCTTCCTGGAGCTCTTCCCAAGGGCCCTAGTGCACCAGCCACTTTTTAAAAATCTCATCCATCATCAAGGCATGGTGGTAATGAGACAGTGGACCACTTTGTGGATCGCAGCTATTTCATGGACCGTACTGGTTCCGTTCTCATTAGACAATATCATGACAGATGGGGTGACTATTAACACAGCCCTGACACTGGGTGAGAAAGACACCCTTTTAATTTTTTGAAGTGAATGAAAATTCTTTCTGATCTTTTGAAGTACGGGTGGAAAAGTCTCAAGCCACCAGCTCAGCAGCTGCATCTTCAAGGAGGCATCTGGCAGGGAGGCTGCAGCTGGAGCACTGATTGGCGACATTCATCACAGCTCACTGTCGTGCTCTGGGATCTGGCTGGTCTTTAAAGGATACATCTGCTGAGGTAAATGGAGATATAGTGAGGACCACCCCACCACAGCTCTTAGGTCCTTCATAGTGGCAGTAATTTTTGCCTTTCCCCCTCTGGGATGTAGTACCATTTTTGATGCATTGTTTAGACAAGGGGAAGAAAGTTTTTGAGGCTTTCACTTCATCTTAAGTACAATAATCATCACTCCACAAGTCAAGGAACAAATATGGAGGTTTCTTCAACAACCAGAGATATTTGAGGGCAGTGGAAATAACCATAAGGTGGAGGTGGCCAGTGGGAACCATGTTGAGCCAGGCTTGCATCAGAACTCCATTTATCACCTGACCTCACCTCGCGCCTACTCTATGAGGAGGCTTTAATGTCACCTTAGCTCTTAAGGTACCAATGACAACAAGAACTTTGCATCAGACAGGCCTCAAAATGCATTTTTCCCCAGTGTGCAGTCTCCCAAGTAAAGATACTGGAAGGACTGGAGAATCTTTACGCTGGACGCCTTCCTTGGAACCGCAAGAACTTCAGCTCTCCTTCAAGCAGTGGGGCCTGCGTCTGAAAACTGGATCCACTTGAAGCACACAAAGAGTCTTGACTTTTTAGTTTTTTTTTTTTTTTTTTGCGGTGCCTGCCCTCTGCCTCCTGACCACCCCTGCGGTATTTATTCCTATTGAGCAGACTGGGAAGTGACGCTAGGTGCGTGTGAGCAGAGATACTGTATTTTATGAACAATCTTCATAACTCCCTGTGGGTCAATCCCATAACTCCCTGGCTGCCACTCCAGCCTTTCCAGCCATTATGACAATTCACCCCACCTGGCTTGTGACAGTTAAGCATTACCATGTGGCCTCTACTTTTCGAGGTTCGAGTATCCCTATTGATCCTCATAAGCCAGGTCTTGAAACTGAACCACCCACCATCAGTCCTGGCCTGCAGAAAGGAGCAAGATCAGAGCCTCCCAGGATGTGAGGACCACGCCCCCGGCATGCTGTTTATTGTGTTGCTGTGCCCATTGCCAGCCAGTCAGCCTGGTGCAGGCTGATTAAAACTCTTAGGCAGTTGCCTCAAAGAGACATTAAGCCTTGCTTGAATTAAATGCTGACACACATTAGACACTAGAACTTTCATATGGTTCCATGTCATTGTGAAATTGATGGAGTTTCTCTGTTTGTTTCTTTAATTTTAATTTTTCTAAAGCACAAGATTGAAATAAGCCTCGCTATTAGGTAGTTGAGAGATAAGCTTGGTATTCACTGTGGGAAATCTTTATGACAGACGTTATTGTTTGGGGTATGTATTAAGAGAAATGGTTAAACTGTGAAGGCCTCTAAGCTAAACTCTGGCTTTTGGATCATAAAACCTCTTCCATTTACACAAATAAATTACATTATGTTACTTTCTCCTGTTTTATAGCTGAAAATACCAAGTGTTTTGGTAGACAAATGACAAGCTATCAGCCTGTCCCTATTGCAAGTTGCAGACAGATGTTTGATAACCACAGTTATCACAGATGGAAGGGGCTGTGTCGAGACACCTTCTCCTGGGGGGCTATTAGTCTCTGATCTGTGATATGCTGTGGGGGAAGAGAGAAGAAAATAGGAAGCACCAGCATTACAGCCATTTATCACCCACCACTGTGTGTGGAATAAATGGATCCTCTTTCAAGATAGTCTATTATCTGCCGCTTGCCGGCTTCATGCTGTCATATGTTTTTTTCAGTAGTCAATAAATTGCTGAAGGCCACATTTGGAGAGTAAGTACCGCTGTATGTCTAACTTTATATATTGTTCTTTTATTTACTGCAGCATTTACCCATTTTCTGGAGAGTCTACTATATACATGGAGGTTTTATTTTTTTTATACTTACCAGATCATTTTATGGATGATAGTTTACCAAATTTATTTTTATAATAAATAAACCAACAAAACATAGCTTTAGAAAAAATCTTGTCCCTGCCTCAAAGTATTTAAACACGCCCACACTTCAGCTTCTCAGAAAGAAACCTGCCCACTCCTTCATTTAATCTTGTCTTTCTTTCAATCTGTGCTTTCTTCAACCAGTGTGCACACCACATATGGGACCCTATAAACCATGTATTAATTGGTGCAGAACACCACTTTCCTTTAACATTAAAGGTGAATAACTAGGAATTATTTCCTAATCTCTATTTTATAAATGCAGGGGAAAAGAGGCAAGGTTGAGATTCATTCCAGAGTGTTTACAGGTAAGGAATTTTCAACAACCTTTGTTCTGCCCAGCCAGGCATTCACCCACTAATTTATTAGGGACAAGATCAATAGCCTCAACGAGATTGTAGTGCTTAACTTGAATCGAATTTATGCCATGTTTACAGCTGTTCTCTCTGATAGCATCCTTGGAGGAGATGAGCTGGTAATCTCATGTGTTTTTGCCACCATTTTGCATGAGTTGATTGCACCGATGACTTTCTAGAGATCCTTTACGTTAAGCCCAAACTCACAGCCAAAAATTAATCAGAACAGCACTTTACTTCTCTCTAAGGAATACAGAAAACTTATGAGAAACAAAATAGCGTCTCTTATCTGTGGCTAGCCTTGGGCAATGCACATCCACCAGGGCCGAGCAAGAAACAGTGGACGGCATTATTCACTCCGACAACACTACAGATACTGTGTTAGTGTCCTACGCTGTGTAACAGATGACCACAAACACAGTTACTTGGAACAACACATATTTACTATTCCACAGTTTCTCTGTCAGGAATCCTGACATGGCAGAGTCAGGTCTCTGCAAGGCTGCAATCAAGGTGAGAGAGACAGGTTTGTCATCTGGAGGCTAAAGCAGGGGAGGGTCCCCTTCTGAGTTCACTCAACTGCTTGGCAGAATTCATTTCCTTAGAGTTGCAGAACTCATGGCTACGTGCTTCTTCAGAGCCAAAGAGGACAGCGAGGCTTTAGAGTAAGTCAGCTAGTGATGGAGGCTGCACAGAATACTGTCGCCATGGAAGGAATGCCCATCACCTTTGCTGTATTCTGTCAGTGAAAAACAAGTCACGGGTTGCTCCCAGGCTCAGGGAGAGGATTACATGAAGATGTGAGCACCCATGTGGTGAGAGCACAGGACATGGTGAGACTTTGGGAGCATTTGTATTTCTACTAGAGGCTGAGCCATCAGAGCTCTGAAGGAATTGCCAAGGACTGTTTCAGGGCAGGCCATTCTCACTGACACCAGGCCACAGCCCCAAGGGCTTCCCCGGGTTTCATATGCCCCCACTGCCTGTAGCCTCACCCTGTGGGTGGTAAGCAGATGATGGATGGGTTCCTACTTCAGGCTTCCCTGTATTATGGATCCCTTTCCTAGTCTCCTTCCCACGTCACTGCAATAGTGCCATATTAACATCTGAGAAATATTGGATTAATAGTCCTCAGCAACCTTCACAATTTCCCTATACATAGAAATATAAACTCAGAGTTAACTCAAGGTATATCCAATCTGGCATCTTAATCTAAAAGAGAAGGCAGGGCTGAGCGAGGTGGCTCACACCTGTAATCCCGGCCCTTTGGGAGGCTGAGACAGGTGGATCACTTGAGGTCAGGAGTTTGAGACCAGCTTGGCCAACATGGTGAAACCCAGTCTCTACTAAAAATACAAAAATTAGCCAGGTGTGGTGGCGGGTGCCTGTAATCCCAGCTACTTGGGAGGCTAAGGCAGAAGAAATCGCTTGAACCTGGGAGGCAGAGGTTGCAGTGAGCTGAGATCGTGCTGCTATACTCCAGCCTGGGTGAGAGAGCAAGACTCTGTCTCATATATATATATATATATATATATATTAAAAACAAAAGAGAAGACAGTGTTGTCCTCCCAAGAAGGGAAGGCAACTGGATGTACTAGAGTTGATTCCTGCAGAAGCAAGTTTCCTTACACCATCATAATTCCGTTTGGAGTGGTTTTTCTTCAGTTCCTCAATATGCCCAATGGTGTGTGTGTGTGTGTGTGCACGTGCACATGTGTGTGTGTTTAAATTTAGAATGCTCTTTCTTTATAAAATTATACTTTCTAGTCTTTCAGATCAACATTTAAATTTCTTCTATTTCAAAAAGCCGTCTCTTTTTTTTTTTTTTTTTTTTTTTTTTGAGACGGAGTCTCGCTCTGTCGCCCAGGCCGGACTGCGGACTGCAGTGGCGCAATCTCGGCTCACTGCAAGCTCCGCTTCCCGGGTTCACGCCATTCTCCTGCCTCAGCCTCCCGAGTAGCTGGGACTACAGGCACCCGCCACCGCGCCCGGCTAATTTTTTGTATTTTTAGTAGAGACGGGGTTTCACCTTGTTAGCCAGGATGGTCTCGATCTCCTGACCTCGTGATCCACCCGCCTCGGCCTCCCAAAGTGCTGGGATTACAGGCGTGAGCCACCGCGCCCGGCCAAAAAGCCGTCTCTTAACCACCCATATTTTTTGGTATCAGTTGTTTCTTCCTTTTTATTGCTGAGTATGGCATTGCTATAGTGTGCTTATTTGTATTTCTGTTTATTTCTTTTATAGATTTAATTGCAATTTTAAACATGATTTATCGATTTTTAATTAACAAATAAAACGTATATATTTATGACTCTTAGGTTATTCTATATCTTGGTTATTGTGATATGTAGCTGCAATCCACATAGGGATTGAAACACTTCTTCAACTTACTAATTTCATTTTCTTGGGATATACACCAAATTGGGGGTTGATGGATCATATGGTATTTCTATTTTTTAATTTTTTGAGAAACTTCCATACTGTCTTTATAATGACTGTACTAATTTATATCCTCACAAATTGCATACAAAGTTTCTCTTTTCTCCACATTCTTACTAAAACTTCTTATCTCTTCTCCATTTGTGATAATAGCCGCTCGAACAGGGGTGGGCAGATGTTTCATTGTGGTTTTGGTTTGCATTTTCCTGACGATTAGTGCTGTTGACATTTTTTCACAGACCTGCTGGCCACTTCCATGTCTTTGTTTTCATCCCCTTTTGCTGCTATAACAAAACACTTCAGACTGGGTAATTTGTGAAGAACAGAAATTGATTGTTGGCAGCTAGGAAGGCTGGGAAGTCCAAGAGCAAGGCACCTGCAGGTTCAGAGTAAGGTGAGGGCTGCTGTCTGCTTCTAGACGGTGCCTTGTTGCTGCATCCTCCAGGGGGAAGGAACCCTGTGTCCTCACATGGCAGAAGGCGGAGGAACTTAATCATTCCCCAGAAGGACAACCTTTCCCCAACACCAGCGTGCGGATTAAGTTTTAACTTGAATTTTCAAGGGCACACCCATGGAAACCCCAACATTCTTCTTTTGAGAAATGTCTATTCTGGTTCTCTGCTCATTTTCTAATTTGGTATTTGATTTCTGTCTATTCAGCTGTCTGAGCTCCTTAAATAGTTTGGATATTAACTCATTAAAACACATTGCTAAATTGTACAAGGTTTGAACTATAAAGGGTATATCATACTGTATACTATCTGTTAAAATTTGCTTTTATATTCAGCATTGTGCTAATAAGGGTTATACAAATTTTTGCCTGGAGCTGTGAGTTATTCATCTTAAATGCTCTATCATATTTCATGATTTGATTATATTATGTTTTATTTATCCATTATTCTGTCAATGGAAGGTTTTCAACTTTTTTTTTTTTTTTTTGAGATGGAGTTTCGCTCTTGTTGCCCAGGCTGGAGTGCAGTGGCGCGATCTCAGCTCACCGCAACCTCCGCCTCCCGGCTTCAAGTGATTCTCCAGCCTCAGCCTCCCGAGCAGCTAGGATTACAGGCATGCACTACCACGCCTGGCTAATTTTGTATTTTTAGTAGAGATGGGGTTTCTCCATGTTGGTCATGCTGGTCTCAAACTCCCAACCTCAGGTGATCCGCCTGCCTCAGCTTCCCAAAGTGCTGGGATTACACACGTGAGCCACCACGCCTGGCTGTTTTTCAACTTTTTGAACGGTAAAGAGACCACTCTAAATGTTCGCCTGGATGTTTGTCCTGGATATAAATCAAGGAATGGGGTAAACTGGCTACATAATCTACACATCATTAACTTCACAAGATAATGTCACATTTTATCACAAAATGCTTTCACAAAGTTTACTATCACTGAGATTGTGCCTGAGACATGATAAACTAAAATATTTAGTACAGCTGAGTATTATCATATTTGTTACTTTTGCCAACATAACAGGTGTAAATGTATATTTTTATCTCTCTGTGTAAATGATTGTAAACATCTCTTTTTATGCCTATTAGCCATATATATTTCTTTGTGAAATATCTATTCATGTTTTTGACCATTGTTTTCTTTGGTTTTTATTTTTCTTATCAAATTTCAGAATTTTTCTGTATTGTTTACACCAGGCCTTTGGGAGTTATGCATGTGGCAAATGGCTTCTTGCCTTCTTGTCTTGTTTTCTGGTGTGTGGGGTGCTTTTAATATTCTTAATGGGTACTTTTATGAATAGAAAATCTTAATTAGAATTGATTCATATTGATTGATCTTTATTATTTACACATTTGTACTGAAATAAATATTTTAATATCAGAACTTAGAACTTTAAAAAGTTAGTAAAATGTACATATATATGCATACATATATGTTACTTTTTTCTCTATAAAATTTTTGGTTTTGCCTTCAACATTTAAATTACTTTTCTGGTTTAAATGTAAATATATGATGTAGGGTGAGAACCACATTTTCACTTTTTTAACATGAATAATTATTTTTTCACCTCTATTTTTCAACAGCTTCTCTTCTTCAGCAACCTATCATGTCGTCACTGTTATATATTAAGGTTTCAGATATATTTCTGTGCTTTCTATGTTATAATTTTTGTGCATTCATATGTCCCCAATACAATCTCTCTTAAACAATAATAATTTCAAAGTAATTTATTTTACTTCTCTTCTTTGGAGGAATATTTCTATTCTTGACTTTTTAACTTTCAATATAAATTTAAAAATTGATTTGTGAAATTTCACACAACGTATGTACACAGATCATGATACATATGCTTATACATTGGATTTAACTAGTTTAGAATTAGAATGATTATCTCTACATGTTGGTTGGGGAAGAAATGAAAACTTTAAGAAATTAGGATTTTATATCCATGAATATAGTATATAAAGCTTCATGTATTTCATTTTAAGTGCTGTTTATGAAAGTTTTATAATTTTCAATGTACATTCTTCAGCATATTTTTCAAATGTAATCCTGTAAGTTCTATATTTTTATATAACTATTGCAAATAATAGCTTTATTAAAATGTTTTGGTTTTAAATGCCGCTGCTACTGCAAGCTGGTTTAAAAAATTAGTTTCTGGCCGGGCGCAGTGGCTCACGCCTGTAATCCCAGCACTTTGGGAGGCCGAGGCGGGCGGATTACGAGGTCAGGAGACCGAGACCATCCCGGCTAAAACGGTGAAACCCCGTCTCTACTAAAAATACAAAAAATTAGCCGGGCGTAGTGGCGGGCGCCTGTAGTCCCAGCTACTTGGGAGGCTGAGGCAGGAGAATGGCGTGAACCCGGGAGGCGGAGCTTGCAGTGAGCCGAGATCGCGCCACTGCACTCCAGCCTGGGCGACAGAGCGAGACTGTGTCTCAGAAAAAAAAAAAAAAAAAAAAAAAAATTAGTTTCTAACATATAAGCACTAGGAATAACATATTAGCACTAGGAATGCAAATTAGTGTTTTTATGTTTGAAAATTTGAAAGATTTTTCTGTACGAGCCACCATTTCTACATTAAAACAGCTGCTGTCTACATAGCAACGGTGGTCCTTGCGAAATGAGACACACTCTTCACATCGCCACAAACACAGTCTCTTCCCCGTCACTTACTTAATTTTTATCTGTTCCAGCATCCTTTTACCCAGGCTGTCATGAAATATATTTAAACTACATAAAGAGAAAACATAAGCTTCTAAAAACAGGAGTGACTTTGTAGATACTGAGTTGCTTTTAAAGAATTATTTCTGGAAAGCATTTTGATGAAATCCATTTAATGCCATTCAGGAGTTGAGAATGGCTGATAAGAATAGCTTATCCTCTGCAGCCAAGGGAAAAAAGTGCTTCGTTTTTGTTTGGTTTTGCTTTCGTATGTTCTCTGTAGCCATGCGGTTTGTTTTTTTTGAACAGCCTTGTGATATTAATTTATTGGAATCTTCTCCCAAACTCCTGTCATCCCACACAGATGAAGTGTTCCCAAAGCATGACAGTGAATGTGAAAACCTGAAGTTTTGGAGAGAGAATTTCTGAGCTGGCTGCCAATGCTTTTTCCAGCTAATTAGTGCTGCTGCTTTCCCATCAATTGGGAGGGCGGCAGTGGAGGCAGTGAAAACCATGCAGTGGGGTAACACCTCATCAAGACGCTTTAAACACAGCGGTGGAATAAAAACCCAAACTGTCTTTTCTTTCTGGATTCTGTCACACTGGAAAATCTGACTTTTAAACCATTATTTCTATTTCTTGGAAAGGCGTAAAACAGCATGGAGTTCAGGGATCAGCACTTTCCTTGCTCGGATAGTATTGATAAACATTTGGCTACCATTTCCAAGTTATAAAGTATTTTAATTTTTAAATTTCTTATATATGTATATTTGTGTATCTGGTTATAAAATTTTCATTTAATATTTATGAAACGTAGAGATTAGAGTTTAAGTAACTTATCCAAGGTAACATAACCTGGCAGATAAGTGGCAAAGCCGGGGTTCAGCCATCTTCCAAATTCCTTCCTTTTTTTTTTTTTCTAAATTTGTTCCCTAACTTTGCTTGTAACATGGATTTTCACTGTGAGCCTCTCTATAATTTTCATCAAAAACTAGATGCATATTCGTCCTGAAAATTACTGTTTGCCACTTCGAGAAAATAGTTGAGTCCTTCCAAATAATAAATATAGGCAAATATTGTAAAGTACAAAGTCACTGATGGGCATCAGTTTTACTTACTCATGGCGTAATGCAAATCCCACACATAAGGGCATTTCCAGAGTGCTGTTGTTTATGCATTTAATGTTTCATTGTAGGGCAGAAAAGCTTGTGTTTGCCAATATATTGATATTATCTAGAGGATTCATGTGATTTCCAAAGCAGTTTCTATTGCATTTTCAGATTGTTTGAAATTAACATAATACCCATATTGCCTTTCTAAAGCCTGTTTCTTTCCAATGCGTACAGTAGCTGAGACCAAGAGCACAGGGAGCCAGGTAATTTAGAGGGTCAGCAAACCGTGAATTTTTGGCTAGAATTACTTTAGGCAGTTGGCTCTGTCCTTACAAAGCTCAAATCCGTCTTACTAAAACAAACATTTTAGGTCACTGAATCCAAGGGGGAAAAATATCTATTTTTTTTTAAATTATCAACTTGCCCAAAGAACTAGTAAATTTTCCCTTTTGTGCTTATATAATAATTTAGAATATACTCATTTAATTATGTGCTGTTCCTTTTGCAGCCAAAGTCACTCAAGGGAAAAATGGTGCAATGGACACATAGGGATCTAGAAGAGTTTTGGTCAAAGAAAAAAAGACATGACCAGAAGCCAAACAAGGAGCTAGGGTCTGAGCACCAGTGTGTAGGTCATTGCCAAGCAAAAAAAAAAAAAAAAAAAAAAAAAAAAAAGTGATCTAAGTGCAAAATTAAAGAATATCATTGCATGTTACAAACCAAAATTGTGTTATCAGCAAAGACATCATATTTTAATCTAGTTTATGAACTAGAATAGAATTACTGACTTTTTGTAAATAAGAAACCATGACCTCATAAACAAATTTAGCAGAAAAATTTACAGAACATTTACGTTAAAAATGAACCATATAAAATACTCTTTTTAGACAGAGATTAAATGTTCAAAAACCCACAGGGGTACATTATTTTTATCAAAGGTAAAAGTCTGATACAGAACATAAAGAATTATATATTCTGGCACCTTCCTGAGATCTGTAATTAGTTTAAAGTTCGCTTACTTTTGAATTTAGTAACACATCAGAGCTATGGCATATTTTATATGACCACATATTTTTCAAATCATTTTAGAGTTATATAAAGTTTAGAAAATAGTATAAAAGAACTTCCATCTACTTCTACCCCACCCCTGCGATTGTTACTATTTCTCCTTACCACGTCGGCTTTACCGTTTCCTATATATTCATATTATCATGTTTGTGAACCATTTAAATGTCAGTTGCAGCCCCATGCCCCTTTATCCCTAAATACTAATACTTTATAGCAGTAAATACTATTTCCTAAGAACTAGGATATTACCATGGTACAGTGAACTAAATCAGGAAATTAACATTAATATAATACTACGATCTAATCTACAGACCTTAACTATCTTTTGTCAATTGCCCTAATAATGGTTTTTTTAATAGGAAATAAAATCACATCAATGGCCAGCCCCAGAACACACACTGGATGTAGTTTCCATGACACATCTCAGTCTCCTTCAATCTGGACAGTCCACATTCTGTTTTCCTCTGTCCTGAGCATGGCATTTTGTAAGAGAACAGGCTGGATGCCTTGTAGAGCATCCTTCAATTTGTGTTTGCTTGAGGCATCCTTGTTATTCGATTGAGGTCATGTATTTTTTGGCAAAAGTGATGTTGTGTCTTTCTCAGTGCATTGAAGAGTAGACATGTATATTTTTAAAGTTAAATAGATTTCAAAATGTTTCTCCTGAAAGCAATTAATAAACATAGCAAATCCTTTATTTACTTGTTCATTAATAGAAATAATAAAATCAGAGTTGTATTAATCTTAAATTGAGAATTTACCATATACAAGGTACTAATTAATTTACATTCGTTTACCTGAATTCTTTATTATGATCCTATTTCTTTTATTTTTTTCTCTTCTTTTTTAATTTCACAAACACAAAAGAGCATATACATTTTATGTTAAAGCTAGGGCAGTTCTTTACAGGTTGACTCTTTTTCTTTCTTTCTTTCTTTCTTTCTTTCTTTCTTTCTTTCTTTCTTTCTTTCTTTTCTTTCTCTCTCTCTCTCTTTCTTTCTTTTCTTTCTTCTCTCTCCCCTCCCTTCCTCCCTCCCTTCCTTCCTTCCTTCCTTCCTTACTTTTTCCTTGTCTCTCTTTCTCTTTTTCTTTCTCTTTATTCCAGTGTTTCTATTTATGAAGATGGGACCAAAAGTTCACAATATAATAGTAAAATTGTCATTTATGTTAGAGATAATTTGTAAACAAAGCTAATCCAAACTCCCACCCTTCCAAAAAACAAACAAACAAACAAATAAGAACCCAGAGAGATGCTCACTGTATTTTGCTTATAAGGAATAAGATGGAGATGAAATATCATAATATAAAATGGCCAATTAAAATGGAAGAAGGTAGAAAAAAGAAACACAGAGCAAATGCAACAAGTAAAAAATATGATAAATAGTAACCTAACTATGTTTGCAATAACTTTAAATGTGAACAATCTATATGCACCAGTTAAAAAATGGTAGAGGAGATAAGAAAAAGAAGCAAAAATCTCAACTATTTGTCTTCTGTAAGAAATCCATTTTAAATCTAAAGACTCGGGAAAAAAGAAAAGTGATAGGCTTCCAACTTCAGCTCTCACATTTCACCGTCATGGAAGTTGTCATTCCTATCCTTACGACAACAACAGCAATGTTGGAAGAACAAAATTAATAATTTTTAAGCCCTTCAGAAAACTGAGGGTGCAGAGAACACTGTCACTCTGAAATCTGGTGCCATGCGTATACAGAGGATTGCAGGACGTATTTGACATGAAAAGCACCACCAATACTGGAACTAATTTACAGTTATGGATTCCTTTATCCAACATTATTAGAATACACTGCTCAAGTTCACAGAAAACGTTCACCAAGAGAGACTGCATCCTGGGCCATACAACACAACTTAACGCATTCAAAAGAAAAAAATAATACAAAGTATACTCTGAGACCACCATGAAATTAATTTAGAAATCAGTAACAGAACAATAGCAAGAAATTCAAAAATATTTGGAGAGTAAGCTAGTTGTCACTAAATAATATGTGAACCTAAGAAGAACTCTCAAAAGAAATTTATATATATTTGAATAAAAACTTAAAAGACTGTCAAAATTTGTTGAATGCAATGAAATTCAAGTTTGAAATGAATTTTATAGCATTAAGTGCACATGTTAGAGAAAAAAACTTAAAAGAATCAAGAATAAAAGCTTCTACCTTAAGAAACTAGAGAAAGTGTTCATCCAAACATCTACTGAAGGACATCTCAATTGCCTTCCGTTTCTGGTGACTATGAATAAAGCTGCTATCAACATTCAATGTAGGGATTTTTTTCTGTGTGTGAACATAAGTTTTTGGCTCCTTTTGGTAAATAAAAAGGAGGACAATTGCTGGGTCATAAATCAGAGTACATTTAGTTTTGCAAAATAACTGGCAAAAGGTCTTCCAGAGTGGCTATATCATCTGAATTTTCACCAACCATGAGTGAGAGTCCCTCTGCTTAACAACTTCCCCAGCATTTGGTGGCGTCAATGTTTTGGCTTTTTCAGCATTTAACAGGTGTGGAGTGCTCGCTCACTGTTGTTCTACCCTGTAATCCACTAAAGATGTATGATTTTGAGCATCTTTTTATATGATTTTTTCCATCTGTATATTTTCCTTATTTAAATGCCTGTTCAGATATTTTGCTCTTCTTAAACTGTGTTGTTGATTTTGATATTGTTGGCTTTAAAAGTTCTTTGTATAATACAATTTGGATATCAGTCCTTTATCAGATATGTCTTTTGCAAACATTATCTTCCAGTCCGTGGCTTGTTGATGATTCTTTTAACAGTGTTTTTGCAGAGCAAAACATTTAACTCTAATAAAGTCCAATTTACCAAAATTTATACGTATTTTATTCATGAATCACGACGTGGATGTTGTGTTCAAAACTAAGTTGCCTAGATTTTCTCCTATGTTATCTTCACATTTTATAGTCTTGTATTTTATATTTAGGTCTATGATACATTTTGAGTTAATTCAATAAAGGGTTGTAACGTCTTTGTGTAGAATCTTTTTTTTTTTTTTTTTTTTGCATGTGGATGTTGAGTTGTTCTAGCACCATTAGTTGATAAGATTGTCTTTGCTCCATTAAATTGTCTTTGCCATCTAGGATCAGTTGACTATTTGTGTGGGTTTATTTCTAGGCATTCTATTCTGCTCTATTAATCTATTTTTCTATTATGTCACCAACATGGCGCCGTTTTGATTACTGTAAGACCTGAAGTCAAGTTGTGCTGGTCTGCTACTTTGGTCTTTTCCTTCAGCATCATGTTAGCATTCTAGGTCTTTTGCTTTCACATATAAATTTAAAATAAAAAATTGTTCTCATGGAGGTAGAGAGTAGAATGACTGAGAAGAGAGGCTGGGAAAATTGTGTGTGTGGTAGGCTCATAGGTACAATCATAGAGTTAGATAGAATACGTTTCAATGTTTGATAGCAGGATACGGTAACTACTGTTAACAATGATGCATTTTATATTTCAAATTAGCTAGGAGAGAAGACTTGACACGTTCACAACACATTTCAGTGCTCAAGAGTTCGAGATTAGCCTGGGCAACACGGTGAAACCTCATTTCTACTAAAATACAAAAGATTATCTGGGCATGGTGACAGGCACCTCTAATCCTAGAAATTGGGAGGCCGAGGTAGGAAAATCACTTGAACCTGGGAGACGGAGGTTGAAGTGAGCTGAGATTGCATCACTGCACTCCAGCCTGGGTGACAGAGCGAGATTCTGTCTCCAAAAAACAAACAAACAAAAGTCAATGAATAAAACTTAAAATCGGTTTGTTGATATTCACAGAATAACTTGTTGGGCTTTTAACTGGGCTTGCATTGAATGTATAGGTCAAGTAGGAAAGAACTGACATCTTGATAATATGGAGTCTTCTTATTTATGAACACAAAATAATCTACATTTATGAGTTTTAAAAAAAATTTCTTTCATCAAAGTTTTGTACTTTTCCTCATCTAGATCTTAGACATATTTTTTAGACATATAGCTATTTATTTTTGTTTGTGGGTTGATACTAATGTAAATGATACTGTATTTTTAATTTTAAATTTCATATATTATTTATATGCTGTTATGGAAGACAGTGTTTGACTTTTGCATATTAGCCTGGATGTTGCAGCCTTTTAAAAATCACTAATTAGTTCTAGCAGTTTTATTGTTGATTATTTTGGACTTTCCACAAAGACAGTCACGTCATCTGAGAATAAAGGCAATTTTATTTTTTCCATCCCAATTGTATACTTTTTCTTTTCTTGTCTTGTCTTGTTGCATTGTCTAGTACTCAATCAGAAGCCAAATAGGAGTGGCCAGTGGGGGCATCCTGGATTTGCTCCTGATCTTAGTGGGAAAGCTTTTAGTTACTCACCAGCAAGTAAGATGTCAGCACTGCCCCAGAAGAAGCAATCACCATAATCATTTCTAATTCCATAAATTACCTGTGCTTGCTAAATTCATTTTATAAAAGCAAAAACTTGGTATCAAAATATGGTATAACTTGATATCATAGGAAAAATTTGAAAAACAAAACCCTCCCATATGCCATCAACTTAAAAAGCATAATGTGAATACAAATATAAAAGATAAATTATCAAAGCTCTCAAAGATTATAAAAGAGAACATCTGTATTACCTCAGTGTTGGGAAAGTATTTTAAATAGATCACAAAAAGCACTAATCATAAACTAGTAATGAAATGTGACTATATTAAAATTAAAATTTTTTATCCACAAAAAACAGCAACTTTATACTGGCTAAAAAGATAAGTCAAACAAGGAGAGAAGATGTTTGCAACATGCACTAGAAACAAAAAGCTGATTGCTAGGTAGTCAGCCATTTCCTATCATATTCATCTGCTGTTTTCCTTGATGACACTAGTAAAGTGCATGGCCAAAGCCACCTTGCCAATGGCTTCCAGATAGATTCAGGCAATAGACAGAACGAGTGTGAGTTTGGAAGAGAAGAGGAAAGGAGGAATAGGGATGTGTCTTCTCCTTTCTCTCTTTCTTTATCAAAATGAGCAGTCTTTGTAAGGCTTACAAGTTATGTTGAGGAGATGGAGCAATGGAAACCGTCATCCACTGCTAATGTGAATATAAATGGATATTAGTGTGTAAAGAGTGGTTTTCATCAGCTGCTAAATGAAAAGATCAGTGTAGCCTATCAACCTTCAATGCCACTGTCACTCTATATCAAACATTAATTGTGCTTATGAGTCCCAAATGATATATTCAAGCATGGGCATAAGAGAATTATTTTTAACAACCACAAATTAGAAATAATGCAAATGTCCATCTACGGTTGAATGAATACTTCGGTATGTTTACACAATGGATTACAAAACAGCCATGGAGATGAGCAAACTAAAGCCACTTGCAACTGTGTGGGTGAGTTTTACAAATGTGATGTTCTGGAAAAGAAAACAAACACAAAAGAACAATATGCTTTGCATTTATTTTGTAAAGTTTGAAAACATATCAAAAAATTTATTTTTCAAGGGTGCCTGCTTAGACAATAAAACTATAAGAAAATAATTATCACAGAAGTCAGAAGTATGTTTCCATTGTCATGGAAAGAGAAGTAGTGACTAGGAGCCAATATTAGTGTCTTCCGGGTCACCGGCAACCCTTCAAGCTTCATTGGGAAAACATGGATGATCAATTTCTGATATAATATTGAGCAGAACATTTTAATTTTCTAAATCTTATTTAATATTTTACAGTACAATTTATAAAAGTTACCATTACATGACATATATCATTGAAATATTTTGTCACTTTATGAAAAAAACTCAGTAAAAGTTTTTGTCATTTAACCAAAATTTTTATTTTTGTTAAAGCAGAAGAAACTGAGTATTCTCTGATGTATCGAACAGGCATAATTCTGTACAATGGTCTTCAAGATAATGTGAAAAGAAAAACAGGATGATTACTTGTTTTCACAAAAGAGAAGTTATGCAAATTTATCGGCAGATGAGAAATGGGATTCTGAATTGAGGTTGTCCACAGGCTCTGCCACAGGACATGGAACAGCAGACCTCAGTATATAAAGGAAAATGTTGATAATGAGCCTGGTTTAATAATAATTCAAATCATGATGCTTACAAAATGTTTGAGGAGCTGAGATATTCTAATGATAAGTACAACAGAGGCTGAAACAGAATAAAACATCTCTAGAAGTTCAATATGAAGAGCAAAAATATTTGGGCCCTATTCTTGTTTAATGAAATGGAAGCCTGCATCCAACTTAATCTCTGTGTATTACTCACTTAAAAATAATGTCTCTTCCGACAATTGTCAAAAAAGTACATGATGGGACATTGTCCTTA
Source organism: Homo sapiens (assembly GCF_000001405.40). Lineage (NCBI taxonomy): Eukaryota > Metazoa > Chordata > Mammalia > Primates > Hominidae > Homo > Homo sapiens. The sequence continues at coordinate 2,349,557 of NC_000010.11, forward strand.
TCCTTAGGTTAAAAACCTAATTTTAAGTTCCCCGATTCTTAAAATCTGCTTCTGTTCTCTTCTCTAATGTCTCACACTTTTAAAAACTCTCTCTCACCCCAATGGTAATGGAAAGGTTTAGTTTTTGAAGTCAGATGGTTGTAGAAGCATAGCTGAAATTTCACCTATATTTGGTACATCCTAAAACATGACTGACATGTGGGTGATTTTAGCAATGTCAAGTTTAACAAAATAAAGCTATCAGTACAACTTGGAGATATTCAAATAAAAAGATTTGAACATTCTCAATAAGGTAGGACATTTTTTATGTTCTGAATCTCAAGTTATTCTAGTGGGTTTTCTATAATTAACTGTTACCAGTGGACCACATGGTGTTCATATAACATTTGTTTATAAAAACGAAAAAGAAATTCACATTTTTTCCAAAAATTACTTTGTGATGTGGACTTTTTCTTGGACAATAGAAATTCGAAATGTGGAATTGTCTGATAAACACATAAAATAGATGGCTTTAGGTTTTTTAAGTATGATTTAAGGTGGAAACTATTTAAGAAGAATTATATATGATATTATGTGATTTTATTTATATATACAAGTTTAAATGAGATAATTCATAATATATAAATATCTGTCTTCTATATTTTATTACATAATATTCCCCCCATATGTTATGGTCATTTAAAAACGTTATAGAAATATGTAATTTTATTATTAAACCACTTAAGTATTTTGCTTAGGAGGCTCCAAGGAAGAAAATACTGATCAGTGAGCACATAGTTAATTCAAAGAGAAATTTTGAAATTTTGTATTGGGGTTACATGACGTGATAATTTAATAATGTCTAGAGACGGAGGTTTATAAAACGTATGCCAGATAATTGAACACACCAGTCTGCTTTAAGGTATTTATATTGCAGTTATCACCTGGATCCTGGCAGTTTTTTTTATAAGAAAGATAGTGTTCTGTGATTAGCAGTCCACCTAATTAATGTATTTATTTATTTGTTTCTTTCTCCTTCTTTCAGTATATCAATATTTATTTGATATGCTCTAGGCTGGAACAGTTGGGAAGTGTTTAACCTGAATAAATCTTTTTCCAGGAGTGCATACTTAATGTGGCAAAAAGCTGGGTAAAGTGATTACTAAAACATTTATTTTCTCCATATCCATAATGCAGTGGCAAAATAGTAAACATCAGTATATTTATTAATTTATTTCTGTTTCTGGCTTGAAACCAAGTGCTAAGGTTTGGGGAATGAAAATAATGGGATATTTATCTTGAGAAACTTTACAATGCAAACAAATTGGAAAATTACCTGGTATAGATAACATGATGTTTCAGATGGAAGCTGTTTGGGAACAGCTAATGGTTTCTCACAAGCCTCAGTAAGCAAAATATCTGCGTTTCGAATGTATTGATTGAGTTTTATGAAATTAGAAACCTGATCAGTGACATTTTCCGTCATTCCCGAGCACTTTGATGTGAGTCTCAAGTCTTTTCGTGCTGAAATTAGGATTTTATCCACTCCACTTACTTTATATATCTCTTCCTTTTGTATTCTTATTCGAGGGCATGTACATAATCTAGAAATCATTACAATGGCAAATAGTGATTTCTTGACCACTATGTTGATATAGCCATTGGGAATATTTGAACATGATTATATTTTTGATTCTCCTCTTAGAGGATTATTTATTTCACTTGATTGGCAAATGCTGAAGTCTCAGAGCCCACTGATGCTTTATAACTCATATCTATACTTCTCAGGTAAAATTTTAAAACCTCAAAGGTGTGATTAAGGTACCTATAAAATCCACTTTGATGTAACATAAAACAACACTGATGAACGCATTTTAGAAAAAAAAGGAGACACACTCTTCCTGCCTCTATCTACATCTTGGGATTCCAGTAAATTACCCTATGTAATGAACTGAAGGTATTTTTTGATGAGCGCAGGGATGAGCATTGTGCTGTTTATCATTTCTCCCTACCAACGTGACATCTCTGCTGATTACTTACATTATGGCTAATTTGCAGCTTATAATCAGTCCTAGTTTCTTAATAAACGTCTCATTAAGTGATGGGAGCTGCCATTTGCCTCCGTGTTCCCACTTCCCAGCACAATCTGTGAACCGAGGCGCGGGGTGGGCTGCCGGACGTCACAGGTGTCATTTGCAATCGTGTTCTGAGGCTTCAAAGGGGGCGTGTAAAGAAATGCCCTTCACAACGCATTACTGCAAACGACAAGTCTGATTAGTCCCCGTGGTGCGGCTTTGCTTTCACTTTTCGTACTTTGAGTACATGACTGTACTGGACAAATGAAGAATGTGTTGGAAGGATTCGAAAGTGGGAGAGACATTCTTGTCTCTGAGTTATGGTGACAACGATGATGTTGCTGATCATGATTCCTACACAGTACTAACACAATAAGTTGACCGAAGGAGCAACAAACATCCACAGACGCTCAGAAAACACGTGTGACCGCAGACCTTGGACAAAGCTGGAAAACTTACTGGGTGAGCCGTTTCTAGAGTCGTTGGGGAGAACAGAAATGACACATAGTTGATGAACAGGCAAGAAGAGATATTGGATGAAACAAGGTAGTCATAAGGTTCCTCTGCTCTTGGCATCACTGACATGCCTGGGAGGAAAGAACACTGGCTTAAATTTGTAAAAACACAGGAGAGAAGTGACTTGACGTCTTTAAAAATGCCTTTTTCAGAAAAGCATGCACCAAATTGCAAAAGGAGGTTTTTGTTAGTGATTTTCCAGTAAAGTTGTGATACTACCAGCAATCTACCTAAAAACTTCTAAGACACAGTTCTTAGAAATGAAGACAAACGCAGTTAACAGAAATAAGCGTATTATATTTTAACTCCTATCTTTATAGCTATAAAAGTTCAGTTACTCAGATCCCAGTTATTGTCACAATGTGGAAAAGGGAAGAGAAAACTCTCTTGCCCCTGTTATAAGAGTACAGACATCCAGTTAGAAAGAGTCATTTGACAACCTTACTATTAAACAGAAAAATGGCCTTGACCTTTAAATGACATTTGACAAGTTACTCAGTTATTTTGAAGGCATCTCATTCCATGCAGCACATAATCTCTCTCAATAACTTTTTAATTTATTTAAATATAAGTACATATAGGAAACACACAAATCGTAAGTAGACATCTTGATAAATAATCGTAAAATGATCACACGGCATAACCAGAATCCTGGTAGAGGAAAGAGGAGGCCAGTATTCTCGAAGAAGTTGTTGTGTTTCCATAACTCCTCCAAGAATTACCAGCATCCTAATTTCTAACATTATAGATGATTGTGCTTGCTTTGGAATCTTTACAAATGGAACCCTATAGTATTCCATTTTGAAAACGTGTAGCCTCTTTCAATATTTTGTTCATTAGAGTCACATGAGATTTTGTGTTTACTTATAAATTTTCTGTTCCCAATTCTGTCGACTGTACCATCTATCCTACTGTGAACTGGCATTCGGTAGGCCACAGTTGGAGCTATTTCTCACAGTGATGCCATGAACATTCTTCTACTTCCTGGTGTTATCAGCAAGGACTGGAGTGACTGGGTCAGTGCATCTATAAGTTAAGTTCTACTAGACATGGACAAACAGATTTCCAAATGCTGAATTGAAATCACACTTGCTAAAGCTGCACAGGAGGCTCCTGTTTGTCTCATATCTTCTTTAAGTGTTTTCACTGAAGCTTTTCTGGGGTGTATGCAATGGTATCTGAGGTTTATAACTTTCATTTCCCGGATGATTCATGAAACCAAGCACCTTGGCATATATTTATAGACCATTTTAATATCATTTTTATGAACTGTATATTCAGGTAATTATCCATTTTCCCATTATCTTGTCTTTATTTTTATATATATAAGGCATTTTTACAATTAGATGACCTTTTGACAATGACTAAAATATACAAACACTTGTCATTTATCTTAACTTTAATTAGGGATTGCCCAGAGCCTTAGTATATTGGGTGCCTCAGGTGGTATCCTGGCTGAGAATATTAGACTAACCAATGGGCTCATAGTTTTAAAATTTAGAACTTTCCATTGTCTGAAGCAAAAGTGTTACATTAATGTTAATCTTAAACTCCTGAAAACAATCAATATGTATTGTATATAAACACAAATTTCTCTCTTTAAATCATTGCTGAATATAAGTAATAATTTTGTTTTTAAAATTGCACACATTTATAGCATTATTTTGATATTACTTATCAATATTTTCAAAATTTAAAATATATTATTTAAAATTCAAACTTTTAATATAGTTATTACTTTTCTTCTTTCTATAAAAATATATTTCAAAATGTTTAATTAGAATTGCTTTGGCATTTAGTAATATCCTGTCATTTGATTACAGACATTAAGATTAAGTAATGTGTTTTTTTTTAATTTGTTGCCTTTCTTTAAAAATGTATCTTTTTTCTGATGCCAATCCTTGAGATAAAATATTGGGACTATATATATATATATGTGTATATACATATATATATATATATATGTATGTGTATATACATATATATATATATATATGTATGTGTATATACATATATATATATATGTATGTGTATATACATATATATATATGTATGTGTATATACATATATATATATGTATGTGTATATACATATATATATATGTATGTGTATATACATATATATATATGTATGTGTATATACATATATATATGTATGTGTATATACATATATATATGTATGTGTATATACTTATATATATGTATGTGTATATACATATATATATGTATGTGTATATACATATATATATGTATGTGTATATACATATATATATGTATGTGTGTATATATATATAGATAGATAGTATGTGTATATATATGTGTGTGTGTGTATATATATATATATATACACACACACACACACATCCCTTTCTGAATAATTGCCATTTTTTTGCCTTGCATTAGTGTTTTTTTTTTGTTTTTTTGTTTTTTTGTTTTTTTTGAGACAGAGTCTCACTCTGTTGCCAGGCTGAAGTGCAGTGGCGTGATCTTGGTTCACTGCAACCTCTGTCCCCTGAGTTCAAGTGATTCTACCAGTTTTACCTCTGCTAACATATATTATTTCAAGAAATGTAATACAAGACAGTTTTGAATTTTCACAACCCATTGTCTAAAAGTTCATAATGATAGTAATATGCATACACCCCAGCACAGAGTGTCATCACATCATCAAACACAGACTAAACTGGCAGTGAAATTTACAAAGAAGATTTACACTAAGATTTTCTTTTAAAGAGGAAACGTAGCCTCATGTCACTTCAGGTCAAGTTTTGTGTGTAAAAATGTTTGAGCTTCAACTTATGAAAAGTGAAAATTTTGACTTTTAAAAGTATTTGGCGTTTGGAATTGCAGATAAGTAATTATTAACATGGATGAAATTACAAAATATAGACCAGAAAAGAAAGTCTCAGAAAGGTCTGCTTCACCATCTAAGCCCCCAGCTGAGAGCTTTCCAATGGAAAAGGTCAACTCTTTGGTCCATTCATTCTTCAAGTGCATCAGTCAAGGCAGCTCAAGCAATCTCTAAGACATGGTATCTGTGATATGGGTTCGAGTACTATGCTCTAACCTGAGTCCCTGCATGCATCTTACCTTGGGGAGAGGGTGAATGCAGAATTAATGACATTGGACATCAACTTTCCAATGTTAATTCCCCAGAGTCCACAGCCTAGTCAAAGGCAGAGCTGTGGAGCTCTCAGTCTACTCAAAGCCAGAATACATAGTGCTTCTTAAAACTGAAAATTGATGTCAACATGGAGTGCAATGTGGTTGAGGTGGGAATAACATCTAAGACTAAGAAATAATTTATCTTGGTAGGTTAGGAAAAAATATATACTCCAAAGACTAGTAGAATAGAGGACATGTTCTGTGTTGTTTCCAGCTCAGGGCAGAAAAGCACTAAGAAAAACTGAGATTATAAATCCCTAAAATTAGCCTCCCTTCCCTCCTTATCCAGCACATTCTGCCACTATGGAACCTTCCCCTCTGCCACCCCAAACCCTGCCTGTTCTCCAGAGCACAGGTGAAACCTCACCGCTGCATGACACCTTTCCTGACATTCACACCTCTCACCAAGCTCCGCCTTCTTCAAATATTTTAGAATTTGGAGGCTGTGTAACACTTATTGGAATTTAGCTTGCATTTTGATGTTCACCAACTTTTTATGTATAATTGTCATCTGGAGAAGACATTCCATGAGGGCATGTATATGTTTTATGTATTTTTATTTTATTCTTAAAATTGTCTAGCAGAACTGTGTAAAAACTACGACAGTTCTGCATAGGTTTTGGTGGATACATGAAAATGTTATGGAAAGTGCGATAAAATTTGATGAAAACTTGTAAAATTACATTATCAGAGGTTATCTAACCAAGAAGGCTTATCAATAAAATTGTGCTAAGTATGGGGGGTTTATATTTTGCAAAATTGCGTGGGACACTGACCTTTTGCCTCTGCTCACTTAGAGCCTCATCTCGAACACGGGCAATTCTTCCTCCTTCTCATCACCAGTGTTGTTTCTTTTCAATGCCATGGACGTTACTCTCCATACTCAGGAGCTAGGTGTGTTTCTAGAGCTAAGAGGGAGGGATGTAAGGGCACTCTTTACTGTGCCCCTACCTCCCGGGATACAAGAAGGCTCTTAGGAAGTTAACGTGGTGTAGAAGTGCAGACTTACGGATGTTTCCCCGGCCCTCTGGAAGCCCCACTTGGTCTTCCCGCTGCCTTCAAATCAACTCTGAAACAACTTCCCTGGAACCATGTGTTCCCATCCAGGCACTCCTGCTCTTTTAGGCGCACTGAGTCCTCGGAGTCCAACGTCACACCCTCCTCTCCCCAACCCCACGTCTCGGCAGACAGCAAGTCTTACCCATGATCTTCCTAGATTTCATCAGATCCCTCTGATGTCTAGTCATTCCCAACCTTGCCATCCCAGTTTCATCTCTTCAGTTCCTTCCTCTAAGATGCCCTGGCAGTGGGTGTTCTAAAATACCCTGAATACAATTTTAATTTTGTTTCTAACGAGCTATCTAATTATGACAGAAAACAAAAGCCAACATCATGCATATAGAACAAAAGTTTGTATCAGCCAGGCGTGGTGGCGGGTGACTGTAATCCCAGCTACTCAGGAGGCTGAAGCAGGAGAATCACAGAGGTTGAAGTGAGCTGAGATCTTGCCACTGTACTCCAGCCTGGGCGACAGCGTGAAATTCTGTCTCAAATAATAATAATAATAATAATAATAATAATAATAATATAATAATAATAAAAAAATAAGATAATAATCAAAAGGCCTGTAGAATCCATCCCACATCACCTTCTTCGCCATCTCCTATTGTTCCTGCCATGTTCCCTGCACTCAATCCAGTATCATCACTGATCCTTCACTGCGCACACAACACTTGATCATTTTTCTTTTCAGCTCCTTGTCTTCATTTATGCGAATTCATCATCAATTAGAGCAGCCTCACTCTTCTTCACTAAATTATTGGTAAAATCCCTCAAAATCCTTCTCAAGCACTGCCTCATCCAGGAAGCTGTTAAATCCCTACATTTGTTTAAACATGTTTCACTGAACTCCCTCAGAACAGGTGCTGTATCTCCTTTGCTTATTCCATTATATTGATATTCTCTTTTGTTCCTTACCTGTTCATATCCACCACTTGATTGGCAGATTCTCATATATCCTTTTATTCCTAGTGTCTAAAAAATCTTCCACTGCTAAAAGTTATATCTATTTTTTGTAGATCTTCATAGTTAGTAAAAGGCTCCACTTCCAGAGGCATGGAGATTACATTTGTTATCTTTGTCTATTATATGGCTCTGTATTGTAAACACTGCCCACCATTGAAAATGACGAGTGGTTGTGAAATCCCTTCCATGGCTTTGAAATGCTCCTGCACGGCTCTGGGAATCTGCCTTACAGGCAGAGCCCAGGTTAAGCAACACCAATCATTAGCTTCATTCTACAGCTAGAGAAACTGAGGCGCAGGTGTATATATATATATATATATATATATATATATATATATATATATATATATATTGTTTGTTTTGTTTTGTTTTGTTTTTTGTTTGCAGAGACAGGGGACAGGGTCTCCCCGTTTCCCAGGCTGGTCTCTCTAACTTCTGGGCTCAAGCCATCCTCCTGCCTCGGCCTCTCAAAGTGCTGGAATTACAGGAGTGAGTCTTGGCACCTGGCCTCAGATTTTTAAACACCGAGTAAAACAAAATGTAATATAAAAACCATGTGGCTGCTTACCATTGATCACAATCTGATATACTTTTGGCCCTGAGCTTTCATTTTTCATCTGCAAAGGTCCCTAATAAAATTGCAAGCCCAGGTGAATAATCTATTTCCTGCATATGGTTAGAACTCCATGACTCTGCGACTGGACTGTTGTGTGGATGAAAGTTGCCTGTGTGTGTTTTTCAGGACTCTGTGACTGGACTGTTGTGTGGACGAAAGTTGCCTGTGTGTGTTTTTCAGGGCTGCCGTAACAAAGCACCACAGAACAGGCAGCTTCAACAACGGAAATGTGTGTTCTCAGAAAGGCAGCTTCAACAATGGAAATTTGTGTTCTCATGGTTCTGCAGACTGGAAGTGTGACATCAAGGTGTGGGCAGGGCTGGTTCCTCCTGGGGCCTCTCTCCATGCCTTGTGGACCACATCTTCCCTCTGTGTCCTCACAGGATCGTACCTCTGTGTGCGTCTGTGTCTTCATCTCCTCTTCTAAGGACACCATTTATATTGGGTTAGAGCCCTTCTTAGTGACCCTATTTTTCCTTAATAATCACTGTCAAATACAATGACCTTCAGAGGGGCTGGGGGTTAGGATTTCAATGTACAAATGCAGGGACCACACCCCAGCCCCAGCTACGGCTCTGCGGCCAGCATTGCTGGACACTGGTTGACTGAATGCTGTTTAGAGAAAAGTCTTTGGGTTTAGAGAAGAGTCACTTGTAGTGTACCCCCAAAATACATGCCATTCCCTCCATCTACAATAAGCCCCAATCCTGAAGCCCAAGTCCTTTCACACTTTTCTAGCCTAGGCACTTTCTCCTGTGTCCTGTGCAAGAAGAACCTCTGGGGTACGTGGAGGTGGCACCCAGCACTGCCCTGCGTGGAGCTGCAGCGTGTCAGGGAGCAGCCCAGCTCTTGGGCACAGCGGTGCGAGGGCTGTTGGCCGGAACACAGTGCCAGACAGCTGTGATGGGAGGAGAGAACCACAAAGGCGGAGGTGAGAACTGAAAACTAAATTACAGGTGAGTGCCTCCAAAGCATGGTGTGCATGCAGTGAGTGTGCGTGCTGCACAGAACCCTGCACTTGTGTGTTCAAAATCCAAGCAATTCGTTCCATTCCTCTTTACTGCCATTAAGACCACTTGTGGTTGTATATTGAACTCAACACTGTTAGGGGCTGGAGTTGGAAGAGCTACTGTCATGGGTTGAATTGGTCCCTAAAAAAGACACATTGGAATCCTAACCCTCAGGACTTCAGAATGTGACCTCATTCTTTATAGAGCTAAGTGACAATGAGATTATTAGGTTGGGCCCTAATTCAATACAGCTGATGTACTCACGAAAATGGATATCTGGACACGGAGTCAGAGACAAAGGAAGAATGCACAGTGAAGATGGGTTATGGGAATGGTGTGTCTGCAAGCCAAGGAGCACCAAGGGCTGGGGGCAGAGAACAGGCAGCCAGCAGAGAGGGCTGGACAGAGCATCCCCACACGCTCAGAAGGAACCAAGCCTACTGGGACCTGCGTCTCCAACTCCTGGTCTCCAGGTGATGAGATGACCATTCTTGCTGTTTCAAGCCATCTACTTTGAGGCACTTTGCTAAGGCAGCCCCAATAAACCACACAGCCACATTCCTAGCTGGCATTCACCAGGCTAGACAGTCCACAGCTGTGACTTGTGTCACAGTGGAAAGCACAGTAGGCTCTATTTTTCAAACCAGGATTCTGGAATCTCAGCCGTCACACTCAGCCAGGAAAGGTCTGTGGGTCTCGAATGCTTCCACTGAGGAATGGGGATGATGTAACTGCACCCATACGAGATAATGAATGTGTTGACTTATTCAGCACTGTCACAGTTCTAAGAGCCCTTGATGAAATGAACAAATAACGACGTAAGGGGAAGGTGGTGTGATGGGGAATTGCCGATGGACGGTGGTCACAAGGCTGGCAGCCTGGGATGGATGTGCAATGCCCACGTTGCCACGGGGCCAGGCTGAAGTGCTCCACACCCCTGTCCACATTCACTCGCTTTCTGCTGTGTCTTCTGCAGGCCTCAGTGGCTGTGCTTCCCTCCCGTGGGATGCTCTGGGCTAGCCTCCCACCTCTGTTCTGGTCTAGCCTCCCACCTCTGTTCTGGTCTAGCCTCTGAACTGACCTGGTCTGTTTGGCTCTCTGAAACCCTGAAACTGACATTCAGATTCTTGTTTCACTATTTTCCATGCCAGAATAATACATGAATCTTTCACAAAATTCTGAAATCCAAAGTCTCTTTGAGGCTAAAAATGAATATCTGAAAGTTGATATTTAGTCCCCTGATCTCTTTAGACAAACTGAAAAGCTTGTTTTCCCTATGATATGGTTTAAGTCTGTGTCCCCACCCAAATCTCATGTTGAAATGTAATCCTCGGTGTTGGCGGTGGGGCCAGGTGGGAGGTTATTGGATCATGGGGGTATTTTCTTATTGTTGAATACCATTCCCCTTAGTGCTATCATCAAGGTAGTGAGTTCTCATGAGATCTGGTGTTTAAAAGTGTGTGGCACTCCCCCACTTCCTCCTGCTCTGGCCATGTAAAGTGCTGGCTCCCCCTACACCTTCCGCTATGGTTGTAAGTTTCCTGAGGCCTCTGCAGAAACTCAGCTGTTGCCAGCATCGTGCTTCCTGTACAGTCTGCAGAACCACGAACCAACTAAACCTCTTTTCCTTATAAATTACCCAGTCTCAGATATTTCTTTATAGCAGTGCAAGAACAGACTAATACCTCGCTGGACAATGAAGACGGAGCCTGGGCTTTTGTGTCTGTTTTCTGTGATTCTTAACACGTTGGTTAAAACAAAATAGGAAGCCTCCTGCAATGTCTTGGATGAATTAAGATAAATTTGTTGATGCTTGCCTAAAATAATGAAAGAGGGGGCCGGGGACCGTGCCTCATGTCTGTAATCCCAGCACTGTGGTAGGTGGAGGTGGGTGGACCACCTGAGCTCAGGAGTTTGAGACCACCCTAGGCAACATGGTGAAACCCCATCTCCACGAAAATACAAAAAATTAGCCAGGCATGGTAATGTGCACCTGTAGTCCCAGCTATTCGGGAGGCTGAGGTACAAGAATTGCTTGAGCCCAGGAGGCAGACGTTGCAGTGAGCCAAAATTGCGCCACTGCACTCCAACCTTGGCGACAGAGTGAGACTCTGTCTCAAACAAAATAAATAAATAAATAAACAAACAAAAAAGAAAGAGGGCATAATTAGAATGCAGAAAATCACAAACCTGAGGTTGCTGAAGGCACTTTAGGAGCCACAATCAAGATGAGGACCTTTATATGGTTGTGAACATCCTAAATTTAACGAAACAAATAAATTCAAAGAGTATTTGATCTTGCATCAGACTTCACAACACTCAGGGAATATCTTCAGCAAACTACAACAATGTGAACGTATAATAAATCACTACAGTCCTTAAAAACACAAATCTGAAACACTAGAATCCTAATTCAGAATGTATGACTTATATGTAATAATAAACTATGAAGGAAAAAATAATCATTTCCAGGAGCCAATTGTTTTGTGCAAAAGGAGAATAGCAAGTATCCCATTGTCTGGAAATGTTTTACAAGTATATTTTGATGGTTTAAATTTTTGTTATACAGTATCATCAAGATTCTGTCACATTTTAGTGTTATTGATTTGAAACAAAAGTGGATTTTGATATCATTTATTTTGGACTACACACTGTGTAATTATTCAAATGCTTCATTTTCATTTGAGCTTTCCTATTTGTTTTAAATGTTATTACTTGCTTCAGTGCATTTTCATTTTAGTGAACACACTGATAAATATTTCTATCAATTGCAGATGTGATTTTTGCATAAGTAACTAAAATGCTAGCACCGTGGTTTAATACAATATTAGACATCGCAGGATCCCATAGCAGCAATTAGAAAGTTTGCCTGCATGTGTGTAATCATAAAGGCCTTCTGGAAGGGTTTAAAGTGTGCTCATAATTGGTAATTTTAATGCTCCATGTCTTTCCCGAAAGCCTTAGACGCAAAGCCAGGGCTGATCCTAGGTAACATCATGAAGTTGACTACATTTGCTTTTCATTTTTCTCAGCCTTTCATCCCCACTTTGCAAGTTCAGTGGCCGCATCACTGACCCAAGTCTGGGTCGGGGTTTCCCAAATCAAGTCAGTCTTACAGACACATTCATTCTGTCATTCTTACCTTCTCTTCTCTCAGGACACTCTGAGTTTTCCTTTCTCTTGGCTCCTTGATATTTACTTGCCTTGTTTGCTTCTGTTGTAGGTTGACAAAATTCTCTTAACAGAATCTACAGCACCCTCAACTCACACCAAGTCGAGTGGTGAGTGGGCACATTGTAGCAATTAATCTGAGTTCCCAGGGTCTGTGCTGGGTTGTTGGCTGCTCCATTATCCTAATAATACCACTACTAATGCATTTGTTCACTAACACAGGTGATACTTTACTGTATTTTCACTAGTGAGGAAGAAAAGGAAGTACCCTTTGCCATGTAAAACAAAACAATCTTAATTTATCCAAGCAAGAGAGGGAGTGTGTTTACCTAGATTTCTTGCACAGGATCTGAATGAACCACATAAAGACTCTGCAAGTTACCAACAAAGCCGGTGCTCGCTGGGGCCAGGCGGCCCCTTCGCCGGGCACAGACCTTGCTGGGGGCTGAGACCACCCAGCCTCCATCAGGCTCCCGTGCGCTGCTTCCTGAATGGAGGCCACTGCCACTCCCACACCAAATAATAACCAATAAAGGGAGGAAATTAGCTTCTCTTATTTCTGACTCTCATTTATATGATAGAAATGTATAAATCAAAAATGGAAAGTTAAAGTACACACATTTATCCAATGAACTTTGATAATATTGCAAATAATAAAAAGGCAGGCTGGCACCCATGATTTGTTTTTAATTTTCAAATGTTCATAATTACATTTACATAATTACTCCTGGATAAGGTTACTATACTGAAAAGGTCATGAGAATTGATAATAGTTAAATATGTTCAAGATTATAGCCTGATGAGAATAAAATACGTCTAAGGATTAAATCACAAAACAGTCTACCAAAGTGTCATGCTTAACAAATGCCCTGCTCTGTTTACACAGAAAGGTCCAAATGCGGCGTTATCACATGCCCTTCTCTGCTAAAATCATGACATGGACATTATCCTTTCCATTTTACAGCTGAGAAAACTGAAGCTCATAAATATTAATTAACCTGCCTAAGATCACACAGTGGAGGGCTTTGGATCCAGGGATTCAAGCTGTGAAGAATGTGCTCAGAAACGCTGTAAAATACAGCCTCCCAGCTAAAATTGTTGAGGATCTTAGCCCTGAGGAAAATGGAAAAATAACATGTTATTCATTCCTCTTCAAGAAAAAAAATGAAATACCATTTAGCATAAATGCAGAAAAGTGCACAAATAAGCTATACAGCTGTCTGAGTGATTACAGAGTGCAAACACTATACAGATCAGTATGTAGTGTATCAGCTGTTTCCTGATGTTTTCCGTCAGTCATCTCCCAACCCATCTACAAAGTTAGCTAGAGATTAGTTTTGCCTGATGTTAAAATTAAACTGTGTATTTTTTTTTTTTTTTTTTTGAAACAGAGTCTCGCTGTGTCACCCAGGCTGGAGTGCAGAGGTGCAATCTCGGCTCACTGCAACCTCTGCCTCCTGGGCTCAAGTAATTCTCCTGCCTCAGCCTCCCGAGTAGCTGGGATTACGGGCACATGCCACCATGTCTGGCTCATTGTATTTTTAGTAGAGATGGGGTTTCATCATGTTGGCCGGGTTGGTCTCGAACTCCTGACCTCAAGGAATTCAGCTTTTCATTGCTAAGCATTAGTGTTGCTATAAATTTTTAAATACCCCATCACAGTACTTTAATTCCTGGTCGATTTTTGTCACAAGTTTATGTTTAACTTTCTCAAATGTTTTCTCTGCATTATTTGGGTGAAAAAAATGAATTGTCTTCTTCCTTTCACAAGTGTAGCAATTTCTTCGGGTTCAATTCACTGTTCTCTTCACAGCTTTTGAAAACAATACGGACATATCTGTTTATAAATAATGATTCTTTTCTAATGTACATATTTAAAAATTTAGTTTTCACAAAAACTCTGGGTTATATCAGTGTTATAATTTTGGTTAATTTCTATTGAGTTCAAAATAGACTATGATATTGTAATCTTTACACACTTATATATAGTAACTTACTCCTTCAGTCATGTTATTTAAAAATGTATTGCTTATTGTTGAAATAATTGTGAAATATTACATATCTGTAGTATCATTATATAGTTTGATTCTACTGTCTGTAGAAACTATTTCCTAGATAAATTTGTCACTTGATATTATTAGAGAGTTAATATGTTTCCTAGTCTGTGTTCGGATTTGGTAAACTCTTTTGTGTATTTGAGAAAATTATGTATTGTGGAGTTGTTAGGTGTAGCATTTTTATGCATCAATAAGATGTTAATTATGATCAGATATTTTACAATGATGCTGAATTTTGTCTCTGTTATATTAGTCACCTATCTCTCATCAGGATAGCAGATTAATTAGTCTATTGCCTACAAATTTCAATTACAATATTAAAATGATTTTTACTGGAGAAAAGAAGTTTTTGCTGGGAAATTAAAACTTTTGTCTTTGTTTTTCCTCTTGATCCCTCATATTGCCTATTTCCTTAAAGAATTATTTGTCTGATATCAGTGTAATTTTTTCTTTTTCTTTTTTTTTGGACGGAATGCACAGTGCAGGTTTTTTCATCCTGGTATTTTAATGTTTTTTTTTTTAATCCTTGTATAAGGCTATACCTCTTATAAGCAGTTGTACTTTGTGGATGTCCAATGTTCCAGCCTTTGCTGCCATTGTTAATAGTTATTTTACTTACCTCTCCTATTTGGCTATTTGATTTTACTTTGTTTTTTTTCTAATTGAATTGTCCTTGTTTTTTTTTTTTGAATTGATGGAGTTTTTTTTTTTTTTCGTAATTCTATTTTCTGCTCTTTTAGCTTGTTAATTATCTGTTCTTTTAGAAAATTGTCTAAAGGTATAAAGGTTAGTAAAAATAATTTATCTCTTCCTACATAATTCAAAATCTTCAAACATTTAATATCATCATCTGCTTCCAACTTCTGTGCAGTTTTGAATGTATTTTCATTCTGTATGTACTTTTGTTCCCACAAAGCATTATTTTAATGGCTCATGTAATCAATATTCATTTAGATTTGTCCACTCATTTTCTCCCTCTATCGATAATTATTATCTTCCTTCCACCTTGGATCGTTTTCTTCCTACCTGAAGACTATCCTCTAATGCATTTATTTATTTATTTATTTATTTATTTATTTATTTATTTATTTATTTTTGAGACGGAGTCTCACACTGTAGCACAGGCTGGAGTGTAGTGGCGCCATCTCAGCTCACTGCAACTCCGCCTCCCGGGTTCACACCATTCTCCTGCCTCAGCCTCCTGCATAGCTGGGACTAAGGCGCCCACCACCACACCCGGCTAATTTTTGTATTTTTTAGTAGAGACACCGTTTCACCATGTTGGCCAGGCTGGTCTCAAACTCCTGACCTCAGGTGATCCTCCAGCCTCGGCTTCCCAAACTGTTGGGATTAAAGGCATGAGCCACCGTGCCCTGCCATATGTTCTTTTGTCTTTTTTATAATAGCGATTCTAACTGGAGCAAGGTGGTGATTTCTGAAAACATGGACAAACCTGAAAGAAGTTCTCATGTCCTATCTCACAGTAGGGTGACTACAGTTAACAGTCAAACATTGTATATTGCAAAATAGCTGAAAGAGAAGCTTTTGAATGTTCTCACCAGGAAGAAATTATAAATGCATGAGGTGATGAATACACTAACCACAACTGATTGGATCATTATGCAACACAGATATTATCAAAACATCAAATTGTGTCCCATAAACATGTACAATTATAATTTGTCAATTTTAAAAATAAATATTGAAAATAAAAGAAAAACAATCTACGTAGAACTTCTCAAAGAGAGAAAGGCTCGGTGCTGTATAAAAATCTGTTAGGTGGAAACAGAAGGTCGCACATTGTAAAACCAATGTGAGTATCAATTTGAATATTTTTTGAGCAGACGTATTGCAATTGATAAAAACAGAGGCCTCATTTCGGTAAGTTTCACAGTAAATGCAAAAGGTAAGGAAGGAGATATAGAGAAAGTAGTTTACTGTTTAAAGAACAGTCTCTAAGAATATAAACATAAATAGCAAGTCTCTAAGAATATAAACATATAAGAAACAACTCAACTCTTACCCACATAAAACCAATTGTCTAACGCTACACTATCCAATACAAATATTGTGTGAGCTGCTTTTATACATTTGAAATTTTCTAATAGCCACATTAACATTTTAGTAATATATTTCATTTAACCCACTATTTCAAAAATGCTATGATTTCAGCAGGTAATCAATGTGAAATATTGCACTCAGTTTTCTTTATTATAAATCTTTAAAGTCTGGTGTGCATTTCCAATCATGCACATCCCAATTCAGACTAGCCATCCATCAAGTGCCCAGCAGTCCTAGGTGGTTAGGAAATGTGATATTGGGCCACACAGACATAATGAATTCTCAAAGTGGGGAAATGTATACTCAGTCAAAAACAAAGTGAGTCTATTAATAAATTCTGTTACAAAGGAGGAAAAAATCTTGATCCATTTTCTTATAGGCTAAATGGAAGAATTAATCTAGAAAAACTCTGGGGAGCAAGTTGACTATTTAGATGCTAGATAATGGCTAATTGCCTGTCATGTTTCAGAAAAAAGACACTGTCATTTGCAACCTCAGGAAAACTGATGTGTGAATTATTCAGGAACAAGCAATACCAATGGCATGTTATGTATTATTTCAGAATAGACTGAAAGCTGTCATTTATATACACTGAAGCTGTACTTCATAAGTGCTGTGTTTTCCACATTTAATAAGTGAGTATCAAGTCTTTGTTTTCTGATTGTTTACAGCAGATCATCTGAACTAATGGGAGTCTAATTTAAATTGTTGTGAATATTGTATACACCAATTACCCTGATCTGATCACTATACTTTATATGGATTGAAACATCGCTATGCACCCCACAGATAGGTTCAATTATTATTAGTCAATTTACAAATAAGAATTAAAAAGGAAACCTACAAAGATGTCTTTGAAATATGTCCAAGCATTTTGAAGTAGATCTAGGGAGTAAATGACATGGGTTGATTACTTTCAAATTTAAGTGTCAATGGCTTTGATACAACCCCAAACCCACTAAAGATTTTTATGAGCAGCAGAAGGAAAGTGTTGTGAGTAAGAAGCATGACAGGATGTGGGCGTCAGAAGGAGAAGCGGAGAGTCCGCAGTGTACGCACTCTTGTGAGCCTGGGGATGAGAATCGGGAGACAGTCAAAGTGTGGTCCACAGGAAATGCTCTCTCTGTTGGCTCTCTGTTGGGAGTCATCTGTTTTAAAAGACTGTGTCTTTGTAGCTTGGAAGATTTGTGAGTGTCCTCA
Organism: Homo sapiens; assembly: GCF_000001405.40. Taxonomy (NCBI): domain Eukaryota; kingdom Metazoa; phylum Chordata; class Mammalia; order Primates; family Hominidae; genus Homo; species Homo sapiens. The sequence goes on from NC_000010.11 coordinate 2,367,431, forward strand.
GGAAATTGTTCTAATTTTCCTAAGGACTACTTAGAAATCCACATTGGAAATCATCGATGACATGAATCTAAGAATGTCAGGTTTGTCAGACTAAAACAGACAGCATTCATAGAACATATTTACGATTTAAAAAACTATTCACTGTGTATCTGAATCTAATTTAATTGAGTGTCTTATTTCTTTTTCTGGCAACCTATGTTAATCTTGTTTTTTAGAAACAATGAGCCACGAGTGTTTTTCCCCATCGTCTTCCCAATGTTAAAGACATTCATTGGGAAGGTGAAGTTTTCTGCCATGATAACTGGTCGAAAGTCTCTGTCTCTGTGGCCTTGAGCCAGGCCATGTGCAGGTGCTTCCCAGGCTCTGAGACAACCTTGCAGGCAGTGCAGCTGCAGCTGAACAGGTGCAGACCACGTCCTACCCTGGCTTCTGTTTTGAGAGAGCTCACCTGAGCATCCTGCTCACTTCTCCATCTTGGCTGGACCTGCCTGGAGAGTGAGCCCGGCTGTTCTGCTCCTCCATGACCTGTGTGTCTCCTGCTCCTGGCTGTGCTGCTCCTCTGTGGCCCACGTGGCTCCTGCTCACAGCTGTTCTGTTCCTCTGTGGCCCCTGCTCCCGGCCATTCTATTCATCCATGGCCTGTGTGTCTCCTGCTCCCAGCTGTTCTGTTCATCCGTGGCCTGTGTGTCTCCTGCTCAGGGCCTGTTTTTTTCCTCCGTGGCCCACATGGCTCCAGCTCCCAGGTGATCTCCTCCTCCGTGGCCTGTGTGGCTTCCACTCCCGGTTTCCAGGGTCTCTCTTGGCCACGTCACTGTGATATGGAGTCCTGGCCACAGCTTCCTTCATAATATGCTCCCCTCTCTGTAGCCCATGGAACTGTCATCCTATCTAGGAGGACTGCCATGAGCTGTGTTTTTATAAGACTGTGGGATACTTTTGAAAGATTTCAATCTCTGTGAAAACTCACCACTTTGTCTGGAATTGATGGCACCTCATCTTATTATGGGGGGAATGCTCTTCACAGGAAAGAACTCTTAAGACCCATCTGTTATCACCATTCAAATTCTTCCCTCTGGAGGATGTGCAAGCAGCGGGGTACCCAGCACCCTTTTGCATGTTGTCTGGCAATATTTTCTCATTTCCTTTACGTATTTTAATGTAATCAGAACAGCTCACATCTGCATAGCAATCAAATTACCAAGTCAACATCATCGAATGAAGTACTGAGGAGTCCGGTAATCAAATTCAGGTTAATATTAAACTTTCTGCACCTGGATTCCAAAAGGAGACAGAGAGAAAGAGAAAGACAGTGAGGAAGAAACTATTTCCACTAATATCAGATATTTATTATATTCTCTGACACTGGTGAAACTGCTTCTTTTCAGGCTTACATTAAATTGTTTAATCTGAAAATATACACTTCCTCTGTTGTTTGAACTGCGATTGTAGCTACACATGCATGAATCTTTTATATGTAGAATAACCTCAATATGAATATGTCATGCTCATCAACTAAAGTATATTTTATTTGTAAGTAAAGAATAAGTCACATCAAGGCACAGAAGGGAAAGTTAGAAATTCTTAATTTAATTCTCATTGTTCTACCTCACATTACTTAATTAAATAATAAAATTAATTAAAAATGTAATATATACATTGCACAAATATCGTTTAAGCCATCATTTGTAGCATGGAACAGAATAGAAACATATTAGAATGTTTATTGCGGCATTATTCACAATAGCAAAGACTTGGAACCAACCCAAATGTCCAACAATGATAGACTGGATTAAGAACATGTGGCACATATACACCATGGAACACTATGCAGCCATAAAAAATGATGAGTTCATGTCCTTTGTAGGGACATGGATGAAATTGGAAATCATCATTCTCAGTAAACTATCGCAAAAACAAAAAACCAAACACCGCATATTCTCACTCATAGGTGGGAATTGAACAATGAGAACACATGGACACAGGAAGGGGAACATCACACTCTGGGGACTGTTGTGGGGTGGGGGGAGGGGGGAGGGATAACATTGGGAAATATACCTAATGCTAGATGATGAGTTAGTGGGTGCAGCGCACCAGCATGGCACATGTATACATATGAAACTAACGTGCACATTGTGCCCATGTACCCTAAAACTTAAAGTATAATAATGAAAAAAGAAAAAGAATCTGCCAGGCACAGATCATGCCCGTAATCCCAGTATGTTGGGAGGTGAAGGTGGGTAGATTGCTTGAGCTCAGGAGTTCGAGACCAGCCTGGGCAACATGGTGAAAACTTGTCTCTACAAAAAAAAAAAAAGAAAGAAAGAAAGAAAGAAATTTAGAATCTACTTTATTTTTTCTAATTAAGGAATAGGTAGTCACTGAAGAATTTTGAATAGTGAATTAACATGTTTGAAACTGCCCTTATAAAAAGTTAATCTCAGTATTGTGAACATGATAGAAGAATCTGAGATAAGAAAATTAGTTAATAGTCTATTGAAGTGTGCCAAAAATAAAGACAAAATTTATCAAAATCAGCAGCATAAGAGAATGAAAGCATATGTTTGCAAAATTTCATAATAACATTTTAAAGGAAAAGGAAATATGTGAAAGAAAAAAAATGCAAGATTTTATGACCTTCCTCAATTCCAAATGGGGTCGGTTTACTCAAGAGTAATTACATTCATTTTCATCACTAAAATAATTTCAACCTTGGAAAGAATTTTGTTTTTTGCTTTAAGAAGAAAGTTATAAAAATCAGGAGATTTATGTGACAGTCTAGAAAAGGCAAAACTATAGAAATGGTAAACATATCAGTGGTCACAAGTGGTTTTTGGAGGGGAAGAATTGAATAGACAAAGCAAATATTTTTTTTAAGTGGTGCAACTATTCTGTATCATTTCACAATGATGGGCAGTTAACTCTATGCATTTATCAAAACACATAGAACTTTAGAGAAAAAGGAACGAAACCCAATGTATACAATTGAAGCAACAAATAACCCCAAAACGATGAGGTCCAGAGATTCTAGGGTGAAATGCAGACTGCGATGACAAAATTTAACTTGATAACAAATGTACAAAATAACTTCACTGAAGGGGATGAGTGAAAAGGTTGCTGACATAAATAACTCTGAAAATGAGTGGAGACACTGAGAAATGTACATAAGCACTGTATTCTAGTTGATAAAGTTGTTTCTCAAGGGAAATAAGTTTTAACACTTTTAAAACCACATCCAGGTGTGCTGGAACTGAGCCCTGAAGGAGATGGGCCACACGCAGCAGGACTTGAATGATCACTATGGAGGCAGGAGGTTACCAGTGAGGAAAGAAAGCAGGCTAGAACGATCAACGTGGTCTTGGAACAGAGTTGCAGACATTGGTATAAACTCATGTTTGGCCTCATATAGATAGCACTAAATACACATAGAAACATTTATGCATATGCTTATTTAAATGGGTTAGTATACACGGGTGTATTCTTTAGCTCTGCCAGCTGAGTGCCCTAAAAGCAGCAACACCGCAGTGGCAACATGCACATTCAGCACCCAAATCTTGATTTCTAACACCATTCTCCTGTAAGAGGAACCAGGGCTCCTTAGAGAAACACCTGATTCTATGGTTGGGCAGGAGATAGATAAGATGAGCCCAGAGCATCTTGTGATGTCAGAACGTAAGGAAGTTCTCAAAGAAACAAATAAGAAACATTTTGAGTGAAAACATGAACGCAGTCGTATTGGATTATAACCCTAAGCACACACTCGTCCACGAGTCCCTGCTGATATACAGAAACTATTAGATAAATTATTAAATTCAGGGAGGGTGAACAAATATCCCATGCAGAAGAATTCCAAATAATTTATGTAGATTCTTGGCCCTCATGGAGGTGGGACGCAACGTTTCCCTCCTTAACTGTGGGCTGTGCATAGTGACTTCCTTCCAAAGAACTCAGTATGGGTGGGGCAAAGGCCAACTTTATAGTGGATAAATCTGAAAACACGACTTTAGCCAGATTACCAATATTGAAATCATGTAAGGAATGTTGATAGTACTTACCCTCAAAATGAAGTGATGATAACGGCATTTATCTCTGTGACTTCCCAGTCTACTCACAGGGGAAACATCAGACAAGTATCAGCTGAAGGATATTTTACAAAACCCTGACCTGCAGTCCTCCAGATGGTCATTCTACAAACCCCCGACCAGCAGTCCTCCAGATGGTCATTCTACAAACCCCCGACCAGCAGTCCTCCAGATGGTCATTCTACAAACCCCTGACCAGCAGTCCTCCAGATGGTCATTCTACAAACCCCCGACCAGCAGTCCTCCAGATGGTCATTCTACAAAAACCTCAACCAGCAGTCCTCCAGATGGTCATTCTACAAACCCCCGACCATCAGTTCTCCAGATGGTCATTCTACAAACCCCCGACCGGCAGTCCTCCAGATGGTCATTCTACAAACCCCCGACCAACAGTCCTCCAGATGGTCATTCTATAAGCCCCGACCAGCAGTCCTCCAGATGGTCATTCTACAAACCCCTGACCAGCAGTCCTCCAGATGGTCATTCTATAAACCCCGACCGGCAGTCCTCCAAATGGTCATTCTATAAACCCGACCAGCAGTCCTCCAGAGGGTCATTCTATAAACTCCCAACCAGCAGTCCTCCAGAGGGTCATTCTATAAACCCCCAACCAGCAGTCCTCCAGATGGTCAAGGTCATCCCACAAGGTCTAAGAAAGTGTCACAGCCACAAAGAGCCCAAGAGACCTGACTCGTAAATGTCACATGGCACAAAGATAAATTAAAAATTGAGGAAAACTAAATAGAGTATGAACTGCAGTTAGTAATCATGTACTAATATCCATTCATGATTGTGACAAATGTACCATACTAATATGTTAGTCACACAGGCTGGTGGGTGTGAAATGTGGCAGTTATCTGTAATATCATCTGAACTTTCCTGCAAATTTATACCTACCCTACAATTTTCAAAAAAGTTTATTTAAAAAATTAAAAAGTTGGCCGGAAGCAATGGCTCATGCCTGTAATCCCAGCACTTTGGGAGGCCGAGGTGGGCAGATCACCTAAGGCCAGGAGTTTGAGACCAGCCTGGCCAATGTGGTGAAACACCATCTCTACTAAAAATACAAAAATTAGCCGGGCGTGGTTGTGGGTGCCTATAATCCCAGCTACTAGGGAGGCTGAGGCAGGAGTATCCCTTGAACCCAAGAGGTGGAAGTTGCAGTGAGTGGAGATCGCCCCACTGCACTCCACCCTGGGCGACAAGAACAAAACTCCATCTCAATAAAAAAAAATAATGAATATATATATATATATGAAAAAGTTAAGGAAACCAAAAGCACAAAGTGGGGAAGTCAGGAAACGTAGCTCGACTGTGGCACAGGATCCGGGTCAGAGGGTGCAACGAGGCCTTGTTTCTACTTTAATTATGAGTCTGCAGGGGGAGGAGAGTGGGAATTAGTATCTCCACACAGTTCAGGGCATGAAGCAGCACACATGTGTTCTTTCCAGAACAAGAAACTGTCTGGTTTGGGGAGCACACACACCGCCCACACCAGCACAGAGCGGAAAGGAGCAATGGCCCCGTGCTCTACGTCATTTGGAATCCCAGGGCTGACACTTCTGCACTGGGAAAGCGTGGCAGCTGCAAATGACTTTATGCCCACTCTCTCGCAGACACACCTCCTACCTCAGCCCAGACCTAGAACCACAGCGTGGTCACTGCCAGCGCAGAGCTAGACTAGAAACAACATTTCTTCTCTAATTGGAGTATTGTTAGGCCCTGTGGCTGACTTTCAGAATTCTACTTATTTCTTAGGCAGGCAGGTAAATAATGCAACTTCAGATTATTGGATAAAACAGAGTTTATATGCAGGCTATCATCACTTTGTTCTTGGACAATTTCATCAGTAATTCATGAAATATCCATCTCCACTTTAAAATCTGGGTCATTTCAATGCAATGTGGAACTGTAAACCTCCTGAATCTTATTTTACATGGAATACACTCACCTTAGAGACTAAAATTTGGCCCCTTTTTATTTTTTAAAAATTGAACTCAACTCGTGTTTAGAGTTCTCTTTCAGCACATAAGGATGTTAGTATCATAGGAAGGAAGGCCCTGCTCAGACTTGGAATCGGTTTTCCGCTGTTTGGAAAAAAAGAAGAAGGAGTTGTTTTTCTCCACCCCCTTGGCCATCTCCATCTCTCTCTCTCTCCTTTCCCTCCTTTTCTTTCCATACTCTGTCTCTCCTTTCCCTCCCCTTCCTTCCATCCTCTCTCTCTCCTTTCCTTTCCCTTCCTTCCATCCTCTCTCTCTCTCCTTTTCCTTCCCTTCCTCCCATCCTCTGTCTCTCCTTTTCCTTCTCTTCCTCCCATCCTCTGTCTCTCCTTTTCCTTCTCTTCCTCCCATCCTCTGTCTCTCCTTTTCCTTCCCTTCCTTCCAGCCTCTGTCTCTCCTTTTCCTTCCCTTCCTCTCTTCCTCTCTCCCTTCCTTCTTTCTTTCTGCAGATGCCTCCCCACAAAGTTGCAGCTCTCTGGCCCTGTGTTACTTTGTGCAGCTGCTGCACAGACGGCCTTGGGACTCTCCTCTGGTTACCTCTCTCTCTTTCCCTCTCTCAGGAGAGCTCTTAATCAGGTACAGAAGCCATGATGGTCGAAGTCAGCCTTTTGAATGTCTGAAATTGACTTCTCACGTCCCATTAACTCCTATAAGCCATCATTAATTAGCATTGCTACAGTAATCCTGACCTAGGCTGTGCGGTATGTTACATGTGCAGCGTGTTACAGTGTGTCACATGTGCAGTGTGTTGCAGCGTGTCACATATGCAGTGTGTTGCAGCGTGTTGCATGTGCAGCATTTTACAGCGTGTTACAGTGTGTTACATGTGCGGTGTGTTGCAGCATGCTACAATGTGTTACATGTGAAGCATGTTGCAGCATATTACAAGTGCAGCATGTTACAGCATGTTACATCATGTTGCATGTGCAGCGTGTTACAGTGTGTTGCATGTGCAGTGTGTTACAGCGTGCTGTATGCTCAGCATGTTATAGTGTGCTACAGAGTGTTACAGTGTGTTGCATGTGCAGCGTGTTATAGCATGTTACAACGTGATACAATATGTTGCATGTGCAGTGTGTTACAACATGTTGCATGTGCAGCGTGTTACAGCATGTTGACGTGCACACTGAAGGCACATCTACTCTGCTCTATCATAACGGCCTTCGTGCTGAGCCAGGACAACGTCACCGTCAAAAGGAATGCAGGGATTCAGACGGCTTCACTCTTAAGTACTCAAAACACAAGCCATTCCAGAGCTTAGTTTACAGCGTAATATGTTTCATTTAAACTTTTTATGGTTTCATATACACACAGAAGCAGTAGGAAGAATACAATGAGCTCACGTATAAACATCATCCAGCATTGACACCAGCATTTCCCAGTCTTATCTAACGGATTGTACCCCACACTTCTCTATACTTCTCCTTCCTCCCCAACACTCTTCCTCCCTTCCTCCCATCTTCCTTTTTTCCTTTCTTTCTTTCCCTCTCTTTTTTTCTATTGTTGGAATACTTAAAACAAACCTTGGACAGCATGTCATTTAACCCACAAATACTTTTCTATGCATGTCTAATTGAAAATATTATGATATGTAGCTGATTAGTAGAACAATCATATCATTATCACACCTAAAAGAATTTTAAAAAGAATCCTTAAAGTCATTCATGAGCCTGTCTATGTCCAAATGTTTTAATTATCTCATATAAATGTATTTTTTAAATATTTGGTTTATACAAGTTAGGATCCAAAAAAGGTATGAATAATAAGCCCTATTTCATTGACTGAAGAACCTAAAATATCATATACACGCTGCTTTCTTCTTATTCATGTGTAGTCTCATTTACATAAGAATAATTTCTGAAGCAGTATTTGCCTCTTCCTTCTTTCAGAGATGGAAGGATTGTGCCTGATAAATCCTGAAACTGTACAGTTAATTATAAACGTCTTCACCCTATCATACCTATTGCTTCTGAAATCGTATTTTTATCATTTTTTACTCCAAAGACAGACCCTGATTATATTTAAATGTATAAAGTCCACTTCAGAGGTGAGTTAAAATGAATGAAGATAGAAGAGGGGAGATGCCTGGTTGAAAATAAAAGAAAAGAGGGAGGAATCAATATTTATTGAAAATGTTTGGCCATCATAGTGTTAGAAAAAAATTTATAGGTTTTGTAAAAAATATATACACTTTTTAATATAAGAAAACTGAAAAAGTTGTTAATTCTCTTTCCTGAGACAGGGTTTTGTGTTAGCTAAAAACTCAGGATGTTGAAAGATAAAGATAGAAAGTCTCTGATTTACAATGGTTACACTTACTAATTTTCACCTTTAAGTTGTGCAAAAGCAATGCACATTTAGTGGAAACCAAACTCCAGATTTTGAATGATGATCTTTTCCAGGGCTGACGATGTGGGGGGTGATACTCTCTGGCTGTGCTGAACAGGGCAGTGACAGCGGCTCCTGGTCAGCCAGCTGGCCTTGAGGGTCTACACCGATCCTCTCCAGGGCACGGTGTTGCCAGGTTTCTCCCAACAGTAGGAGAACGTAAGTGTTCTGAGCACTTTCACCGCAGGCCAGGCTAACTATGATGTGTGGTAGGTTCAACATATTAAATCCTTTTTTAATGACGTATTTTCAACTTAGGATGGGTTTATCTGGTCATAACCCCATTCTAAGTTGAGAATCATCTGGATTCAGTTTGATCTTAGGTCTGTCGATTTGAAAATTTTAGTTAACTTCCTTAAACCTGACTTCTTTATCTAAAACAGAGGTGGCAAATGTATCTACCTCAAGGAATAGATGCTATCTTTAACTGAGGTAATTTGTGTAGTTGACTAATCAGATTGTAAAGGGTTGATAAGTGATGTCACTGTCACGGTGGGGTCTTACGCTATACTGTATACTCCCTGTAGCCAGAAAGTTCCTTTTAAAAACATGGAACATGGCCAGGCACGGTAGCCCAAGCCTGTAATCCCAGAACTTTGGGAGGCCAAGGCAGGTGGATCACCTGAGTTCAGGAGTTCCAGACCAGCCTGGTTAACATGGTGAAACCCCATCTCTACCAAAAATACAAAAGATTAGCCAGGCATGGTGGCAGGCACCTGTAATCCCAGCTACTCAGGAGGCTGAGGCAGGAGAATCACTTGAACCCGGGAGGCAGAGGTTGCAGTGAGCTGAGATTGTACCACTGCACTCCAGCCTGGGCAACAAGATCGAAGCTCTGAATCCAGCTAGGAACTGCCATCAAAAAAGCAGAGGCCAGGTCTTTTGCAGAGCAAGTCCCAAGTCCTCTCGGACAGCTTTGGGTCTCTGCAGCTTCCCAGTCCCTCGAGGCTCATAATAAATGCGTTCAGGGCTCTCCCAGGGCTCATTTGTTTTAGAAACGCCTGCATCGGTTTGCCTTTAGAGCACCAGGTATGGGGAGGACCTCTGCTTGGAGCCAGGGCTCTGGAATTCTCTTTGGCAGGTCTATGTGCAGTCAATCATCAGCTGCCCCTCTAGGGGCTGAGAACCTAGAGGCTATCAGGGGTCTTCCCAGTTTCTTAGCAGGGCACGGAGTAGGATCAGGACTGGGAAAAACGGGCGCAGCTGGACTAGGAGCTGCCTCAGAGAGAGCACTTTTATTTATTTATTTATTTATTTATTTATTTATTTATTTATTTATTTATTTTGAGACGGAGTCTTGCTCCGTCTCCCCGGCTGGAGTTCAGTGGTGCGATCTCAGCTCACTGCAAGCTCCGCCTCCCGGGTTCAAGTCATTCTCCTGCCTCAGCCTCCCGAGTAGCTGGGACTACAGGCGCCCGCCACCACGCCCGGATAATTTTTTGTATTTTTAGTAAAGACGGAGTTTCATCGTGTTAGCCAGGATGGTCTCGATCTCGTGACCTCGTGATCCTCCTGTCTCGGCCTCCCAAAGTGCTGGGATTACAGGCATGAGCCACTGCGCCTTGCCAGAGAGAGGACTTTTATACTCGGAGAGGGCAATGACCATGGGCCCTGGAGGTTCCTAAACAAGAACCTTTTCATCCATCTTGGGAAGTCCTCCAAGAGTCCTCATCAACAACACACTGTTCTCCTCAAGAACTGGATATCAGCATGGAGTTCATCTCCAGGCAGAAGTCCAGACATGGGGCTCTACGAGGCTGTGGCTGAGGTGAGCAGCAGGATGGCAGGTGTGAGCCCTTGGAATGTGGCAGCATTCCCAACGGGAGCTACAGACTCAGTGTAAATCCCAGGTAGCTCTTTTGTATGTGTGTCTAGACAAACTGATACCAAGTTTAAAGACAAAGGACCTAGAAGAGCAAATGCAATCGTTACACACAGTGGCGGAGGACTCATCATCCACCAAAATACAATAAAGCACAATCCATGATAAAATATTGATGTATTGGATTTCAATAAGCGTAATAACTTCTGCTCTGAGAGAGGGAAGAGACAAGCCACAGACTGAGAGAAAATATCTACACAACACAGAAATGATAAAGAACTTGTATACAAAATACACAAAGAACTCTTAAAATTTGATAGTATAAACCAACTCAGTATAGTATAAAAAAATTTGATGGTATAAACAAACTCAGTTATAAAATAAGCAAAAGATCTAAAAGACACTACACCAAAGATGATGTACAGATGGCTCATCAGCATGCAAAAAGACTCTCAACGTCATTTGTCATTAGCGTTAAAACAATGAGACACCATTACCCACATATTAAGATATACAGAATCCAGCTGGGCATGGTGGCTCACGCCTATAATCCCAGTACTTTGGGAGGTTGAGGCAGGTGGATCATGAAGTCAGGCGCTGAGACCAGCCTAGCTGACATGGTGAAACTCCATCTCTACTAAAAATACAAAAATTAGCCAGGCATGGTAGCAGTCACCTCTAATCCCAGCTACTTGGGAGGCTGAGGCAGGAGAATTGCTTGAACCTGGAAGGCGGAGATTGCAGTGAGCCAAGATCACGCCATTGTACTCCAACCTGGGTGACAGTGTGAGACTGCCTCAAAAAAAAAAAAAATAGATATACAGAATCCATAAAACAAATGGACGACACCAAGTTCTGGTGAGGATGTGAAGTAACGGCATTCTCATTTATTGAAACTAGGAAGGAAAAATGGTACAGACAATTTGGAAGATAGTTTGGTGGTTTCCTACAAAACTAAATATACTCTCACCATACAACACAGCATGTGCTCCTTGGTTTTTACTCAACTGGTTTAAAAACTCATGTTCACACAAAAACCTGCACACAATTGAGTATCTTAGCTTTGTACAGTCTCCCCAAACTGGAAGCAACCAAAAAGTTCTTTAGTAAGTGAATGGAGAAATACACTGTGATACATCCAAGCAACAAAATGTTATTCAGTACTAAAAACAAATAAGCAATCAAGCCATGGAAAGACATGGAAGAACCCTGAATGTGTATTGCTACATGAAACAAAGCAATCCAAACACATGGCACACTCTAGGCTTCTAACTCTGTGGGATCTTGGAAAAGGAAACTCCCTTGTGAGAACTGACTCCTCACTGGGCACTCAGACCTTACTCTCGCCAACCAAGGTGTAGGAACAAGTACTCCACAGGAGGGTTGTCCCTGGGGTGGCATTCCACCTGAAGGTAAGGAAGACCCCCGTGGGCATCTCGGATGACGCGCAGGCTCCTGCAGCTTCTATCAAAAGCTATCCTCATAAAAACTCTGTGAAGTAAATATCCGAGGGCTCCTTTCATTTAGAGATTGAATTTTATTGATGCTAACATCAATGTTCTTGTATTTCAGCTGTATAATTCTAAGAGCTCAGGTTCCATTCAACATATCTATCAGCAATTCCAGAATGTTGTTCATGGTAACTCAGCTCTACCCCACCTGCTGCCATCTTCTGTGAAATGCATGTCCAAGCCAGGGCTGCTATTTTATTATGACCCGAAAATGCTCGGGCTGCGTTCTGGACCCAAACAGAAACAAGGGTCTCCTAGCTCCCTGCACCTGGGGCTAAGGCTCTGCTCCTGCCGATGCCACTGTCTCAGTGCTAGTGCTACAAGACCTCAGGCTCTCTACTCCATTAGAACAAAAAGCCTGAAAAACAGCAGAGAAACGACCAGCTTAGCCTTACAAACACCCACATTGTGCATTCTTGTTTGAAATCAACTAGGAAATGGCAACAAGAAGGGAAGGCCATGATAAATAGAAACATCTGTATTTTATTATTACACTGTGAATAATATTACATATTAGTGTCCTCAGTTATAACTTTATGGCTCTCAAATAAATCTTCTTCCTTACTGTCATATTAAATAGGATGATACTTTTATCTGCTCAGTGTTTGGAGTTCGTGAAGTTTGGCTTTATGAAATTCCATTAGATAGTATATCATTAACACAAAAATCACTGGCTTTTAAGCACCATTGATCCACAAAACAACATACATTTGAAATTCCGTGAAAGTACAACATGATATGGTATAAACTTTTTTTTTTTAATATCTGAGACAGAGTCTCACTCTGTTGCCCGGGCTGCAGTGCAGTGGCGCGATCTCGGCTCACTGCAACCTCCACCTCGCAGGTTCAAGTGATTCTCCTGCCTCAGCCTCCCAAGTAACTGGGATCACAGGTGCCTGCCACCACACCTGGCTAATTTTTGTATTTTTAGTAAAAACGAGGTTGGCCAGGCTGGTCTCGAACTCCTGACCTCAGGTGATCCACCTGCTCGGCCTCCCAAAGTACTGGGATTACAGGCGGGAGCCACTGTGCCCAGCTAGTATAAACATTTTTATTGCATCAAACGTGCCTATTCTATATAAAGCCTGCAAGTGTTCCCACATAACACCCATGTGGCTTAGGGAACCCGTTCATTTATAAACTCGATCGGAGACAGCTTATTCTTTGCCTATATCCTTATATCACGTGACTCCAGATACGAAATATTAAAGAGCTGTCACAGTGACTTTTTATTAGCACACTGTATGATAATGTAGGATGTAAATGAGCAAACCCTGTTAACATTTCAAAAAGATATTTAGGACCTAAGTCAACCACTTTTTAAATGTTCTGAGCAGAGTTTGTCTTTTTCTGTCTGTCCTTGTACATCTTAATTTTCTGTCTGTTCTTTTAATCCCAGCTAATTAGGGTATTTCACTGCCATGTAACGCTGGCCCCTTAAGCTGAGCTTGTAATTACAATGAGGAGGCAATGTTCCATAATTGCAGATTGTGGGTTAACTGGTAATTCCTCATATAGCATGCTTCCGGGTGAAGATTGACACTGCAGTTGTTGACTTCCTTCACAGGACAGAGGGCTTAACTGTTCATCAAGGTTTACATCCCTCAGAATGCTACATAAGATATTCTGCTGCTCTGATATCTTAGATTGTCTCAGTGAGAAGAAGAAAAACAGGGAAGGTATCATGGAGAAAGTGTCTTCATCTCTGTTCAAAAATAGATTTTATATTAGAACATTTATCTCATACATCTGCATATAATGCATTTGGAACAACTGAATGATTTATTTATTAAAGACAATTCTGGGCCAGGCATAATCGCTCATACCTGTAATACCAGTGCTTTGGGAGGCCTAGGTGGGAGGATCATTTGAGGCCAAGAGTTCCAGACCAGCCTGGGAAATATAAGGAGAACCCACTTCTACAAAAAAAGTTAAACTATCTGCATGTGGTGGTGTCCGCACCTGTAATCCCACAGAGGCTGAGATTGGAAGAACACTGGAGCCTAGGACTTTGAGGCTGCAGTGAGCTATGATGGCACCATTGCACTCCAGCCTGGGTGACAGAGCAAGACCCTGCCTCTCTAAAGAGAAAAGACAATTCTAGCACACACACACTATTTTAAATAAAATTATTTATCTTTCTCCCAACATTTATTTGCAGAGAAAGAGAGAGAGAGAAAGGGAGAAACAGGGAGCAGGAATGACATACATTGGCTTAATTTCCTAAAATTATTGTCAACAAGATTTTGGCATTGATAAATCGTTCCTTTCCTGAATCAAGAAAATTCAATATACCTAATACTGATCTCATCTTTTTTTATTTTTCTTTTTCTGAGGTCAAGTCTCGTTCTGTTGCCCGGGCTGGAGTGCAGCTGTGCGATCTTGGCTCGCTGCCACATCCACCTCTGGGGTTCAAGCAATTCTCCTGCCTCAGCCTCCTGAGTAGCTGGGATTACAGGTGCGTGCCACCACGCCCAGCTATTTTTTTTTTTTTTTTTGTATTTTTAGTTGAGATAGTTTCACTATGTTGACCAGGCTGCTCTTGAACACCTGATCTCAGGTGATCCACCCGCCTCGGCTTCCCAAAGTGCTGGGATTACAGGCGTGAGCCACTGTGCCCAGCCTGATCCAATCTTTATATTTCCCAACAAACTCTTCACCAGTTTCCCTTGTGTGTGGCATCATGTTCCTTCTCAGGAGTAAGCGATGAAGTAACTCTTGCCTTCTCCTTCCCTTCTTTGCGCCCCACAATCCAGCCCGAGTTCATTTCCATCCTCACTTCCTCTGACTGCGGGGTGCACACTTCCTTCCTTCCTACTCTCACCTCCTCCCTCAAGATTAAGGTACCCCTCACCTTCTAACTGTGTGTTTTGCCATACTCTCCAACATGCATATGGAACTCATTTTTAACTAAAGACATCTTATATCACCTCAAAGAAAATTTACATTAAATATCCACTTATAATCTTCCTGAAGAGTCTGTTGGTTTGAACTGCAATGCTGTTTGAGTAAAACTTTTGAAAGCTTGATAATAATTGATTGCTCAAGATAGTAGTGGCTGCCATATCACCCCCACATCAGTGGGCTGCCATGGAGCTCAGGTTTGTCCACAGTTGTTCCAGCCAAAAATACACCTTAAATCACTGAACACATGTCACTAATGAGGTCAGATGGTTATCTGGCACTGCAATGCCTCAGACCCAATGTACCCACTCAGATTATTAAAGTGCCCCATCTAAAATGCTTTAACCTCTTATTTGAAGCAATAAGAAAAAATGGGTGTGGAAATCTGTATTTAGCTTTCTGTGAAAATTTGACCATTGTTTCACAGCCCCATTATGCCAAGTGCAGGGCTCACAGCAACATCAACGGCACCGTTAGGGCATGTTGTGAGGAATGCACAATCCTGGGCTCTTCTGTGGACCCCTGAGTCAGGGTCTTCACTGGGTCTACAACCCCAGGATGAGTGTGCCAGTGAGCCTTGGAGAAGCTCAGCCCTGCAGCGCTGCCCCCACATCCCAAAGACGGAAAGGACAATGTTGTCATCATTTGGCTTAATTTCACAATTTTGGTAAAAGTCATTACAGCCCTTTGAAAGACTTGGTCGTGCTAGCTCATAATTTCAGTTCTGGCTTCTAAATGTCATTCCAAAGATTGGCTCAAAAAAATCCAAATGAAGAATATGACATTCAGAGGACTTGTTCCATTCGTTGCGTTTCTCTCAACTCTAAGAGCTTTATTTTTAGATGAATAATTGCATCCTTTGTACTGAGAACAAATTAATAACCACTTGCATTTAGCAATTTCAATTTCACCACTGGAAGGGCTCATGTACCCAGTCAGAGCGGAAGATCGCGGTGACAATTAGTTAAATTTAGCTGGCCTCGTGGAAAAACCCCACTTTCCAAGGGCAGTTGTTAAATGAGGACATTTGGGTTACTAGGCAAATATTAAATTAGATGAGTTTGCAGAAGCCATAAACATGTTATTCCAGAGCCCTACAAGAAGATAATAGAAGTAATAACAAATAGGCTTTGAAATCACATTTTAATTAGACAAACTGTTTTACACAGAAATCCTGACACAGCACCAGCTATGGGGCCATGATGCAAGTTAACCATATAGCTATGAACCAGTCTATTCGGAAATAAAAATGTACCACTTAATAAGCAGTTTTGCTCAAAACAACGACTTCCATAAATCATTATAACTAGAATAATATTGAATTGGGAATGTGCCCTATTTGACTTTATTATTATTTAACATTATCTCTGGATACTGTAACAAAGTTCCATTTTATAGATGTGTTTTTCAGTAATATGAAAATGTAATAAACTGAAAAGTTCATCATCCAAGTACTTGATTTACCACTTCAGAGATGGTGAGGGGAGGGTTGCTGGAGCAGGGACCCTGAAAAGAGAATACGCTCTGAGATGCAGCTAAAGCTGTCCCTGCACTTGTTCAGTGGGTTTTCAGTGCTAATTTCTGCATGCACATCTTCCTTGAACTGCTAACTTTTCTATTTTTGTCTCTCTTCCTCTAGGTGAGACCACGGTCCTGAATTTCAGGGCAGGTGTGCACTACTTTGCCTTTGTCTCCAGAGCACTTCATTCTACTCCCACCACCAGCTCTTGCAGATCTTCTGTCACTGATATAGTTTGGCTGTGTCCCCTTCCAAGTCTCATCTTGAATTCCCATGTGTTGTGGGAGGGAGCCGGTGGGACGTAATTGAGTCATGTGGGAAAGTCTTTCCTGTGTTGTTCTTGTGATAGTGAGTAAGTCTCACGAGATCTGATGGTTACTATAAGGTGATGTTTCCCTGCACAAGCTCTCTCTCTTTGCCTGGTGCCACCCATGTAAGATGTAACTGGCTCCTCTTTGCCTTCCACCATGATTATGAGGCTTCACCAGCCACATGGAACTGTAAGCCCAGTAAACCTCTTTCATTTGTAAATTGCCCAGTCTTGGACATGTCTTTATCAGCAGCATGAAAACGGACTGATACAGTCACCTTAGGAAGAACCTGTCACTGGCAGATGATTCTCCTGGTCATCTGGGAGATGGCAGAGCTCCCTTACTTCCTGCACTATTCGCTGTTCTCAGGGGAACCCTGGGAAACACAAAGGCCCCTTGAAAGGCTGTCCCTCTCCCGGCATGGCTGGGAGTTGGGAGATGGACAAATGCTGCAACCAGAAGTGATTTCAGTTACTTCTAAAGGCACAAAGAGGGAGGGAAGATATGAGAGGAATCCAAACAGCTAAAGTTAAGCAAGTATTGCTCACAGTGAAATCGCAAGCCTTGCAGACCCCATGTGGAGTGTGAGCTCTGAGGCTGGCGGCCTTCAGAACAGATCAGCTGCAGGGGAAACCTGTGTGTGCAGAAAAGCTCGAGTGAAGATGCAGGAAAGTCTCACAACAACCAAGTACAAATCTCCCCGGCCACAACAAATCAATGGCATTGTTAAACTTGGAAATAATCCATCCCAGCTTTCATATCACCTGTCTCTGTGCCGACTGGCTGCTGGCTGCTCTGTCTTCCTATACAACCATGCTGCACAAGCAGCCCTGAGGCTCCGATGTAAACAAATAAACATACATTCATAAAAATGCGATTTAGAAATGTTCTGAGGCACGTCCTGTAGAATACTGTCCATCAATTACCATTCTCTTTCTTCAGATCAACGATGCCTCTTAGAAAACATGGCATGACCAAGAAGCTGATCCCCAAAACAAAAAGCTAGTTCAACACTGAAAAATGTATATTGCATTTATTATTTTAGCTAACTAAATCGCATATTTTCATCTCTATAGATGCAGAAAAAGAATCATAGGCTTGATACAATTTAATATTCATTCAAAGTTTAAAAAGCTCATTTGGGCTGGGTGAGATGGCTCATGCCTGTCATCCCAGCACTTTGGGAGGCCGAGGCAGGTGGATCACTTGAGGTCAGGAGTTTGAGAGCAGCCTGGCCAACATGGTGAAACCCCATCTCTACTAAAAAATACAAAACTTAGCTGGACGTGGTGGCAGGCATCTGTAATTCCAGCTACTTGAGAGGCTGAGGTAGGAGAACTGCTTGAACCCAGGAGGCGGAGGTTGCAGTGAGCTGAGATAGTGTCACTGCACTCTAGCCTGGGTGACAGAGTGCGACTCTGTCTCCAAAAGTAAATAATAAATAAATAAATAGTCCATTTGCAAACCAGTAATAAAATGAGCATCCGTTACCTTACAAAAGGTAAGTCCAAAAAACTTTTTGGCAAAATCATACTCAAAGGAAAAATGATAAAATTGAGATGCTTAAACACTGGAAATATGACAAGAGCACTATCTCTTACCACTTCACATTACACTAGATCTCTAGTGCTGCCATAAAACTAGAAACATAAATCGCAGAATCGTGGAGGAAATACTGAACACCGTAATGAACTCATCTTTAAATTGTTCTATAATTCAACAAAATACCAAACTCCCAACAAGGGAGGTTTTTTCTTTGTTTTGTGTGTTTTTTTAAGGTTTCTCTGAGGATATTGACAAGTAGATTCCCAAATTTTATATGGAAAAAATATGGCTCAGATACAGTGAAGACACTGCTGACCTTGAAGATGAATGCGAAGTATGTCAGACATGACATTGTGCATTGCTGGAGAATGGAAGGGAATGACAGTTTCACATGGGAAGAATAAACAATCAGTTTTTCTATTTAGGCAAATTAGTTAGAAATTGGAAATCTAATATATTAAAAACCTAAATGTAAATGGCTAAAGATTAAACTGTTATAGAAAAAAAAAAAAACAGATGAATTCTTTAGGAGCTTGGGGTAATGCATTAGGTAGGCTGAAAAGGTTATATTGTGTTAACAAATAATCCCCACATGCAAGCACTTTTCCCCATTGCTTGTTTAATTCTCCTGCACACAACGTCTGCTCCTTGTCCTAGTGACTCCCCAGGGGTCAGTGTCCTCAAAGGGCAGCACAGCCATGCAAGCGGACTGGACGGAGATGGCAAAGTCTCACATTTTCATCAAGTGCCGTGCGTGCTTTGCTATTGTTGCTGTTGTTCACGCGTTTGGTGTTATCTGTTAAAATCTATGACCAAATCTAAAGCTATGAAGATCAATCTCTGTGTTTCCTTGCAACCGCTGTATAACTTTAGCTTGGATACTTAGATTTCGAAATACTTTGTGCTCATTGTTGCATGTGGTGTAAAGTAGGAATCCAACTTCATTCTCCTGCAAGTGGAAATACAGTTGTCCAAGCACCATTTGTTGAAGAGACTATTTTTTGTGCCCATTGAATAGACTGTACACCCTTATTAAAATCAGTTGGCTGCAGATGCATGAGTTTATTTCTGCAGCCTTGATCTATTCCATTTGTCTCTCTATATAAGCTTATGCCAGGATCACACTGCTTTATTACTGTAGTTTGTGATATGTTTTGTAAGTCGTCTCACTTTGGTATACTTTGTCAAGATTATTTTGACACCTTGGGGCCCCTAACAATTCCAAATGAATTTGAGAATTTGCTACTTTATTTCTGCAGAAAGTCTGTTGGAGTTTTGGTAGGGATTGCATGGACTCTGTGAATCATTTCGTGTAGTACTGACGTCTTCACAATATTAAGTATTTCAATCCATGACAAAGAAATGTCTTTTTAAAATTTATATTTTCTGTAATTTTTTCCATAAATGTTTTCTAATTTCCAGTGTACAAGCCTTTGATCTCTTTGGTTCAAATTTATGACTAGGTAATTTTTCTTTCCTTTTTTCCTTTCTTCTTCTTTCTCTCTCTTTTTTTCTTCCCATTTTCCTATCTTTCCCCTTTTTCGTTTTCCTTTTAAAATTATAGTTAAATGTGGATAACATACAATTTACCATTGTAACCATTGTAACGGTACAGCTTTTTGGCATTAAGTATTAGGTTGGTGGAAAAGTAATTGCTGGTTTTGCCATTACTTCTAAATCAGCAATTGCTTTTGCACCAACCTAATACATTCATATTGTTATACCAATCTCCAGAACTTTCACCTGCCCTAACTGAGGCTCTGTACCATTAGTGTGAATAACCCACTTCCCCCTCCTCCTGCCCCCGGGATCAGCATGGTACCTGCTGCCTCTATGAGTTTAAATAATCTAGGTACTCAGACAATTGGAATCATACCATCTTCCTTGTAGCCAAGGAGTCTGAGATTCAGAGTACAAGGGCTACTTCATCAGGACCACGCCCCACGCTGACGGCCGAGCAGAAGGGCCCAGGCCTTGCCCTCCCTGGATGGATGGCCCGCAGATTTGCTGGTGAGGAGGAGAAACAAACCACACCACCCTCCTTTAATTGCACACCAGGATTTCTTTTCCATTGCTTTTTCCACTCCATTTAAAATAGCGTTTTAAATCTACTCACGTTTGATACTACCCAAATTAAAAGTATAAAAAGTAGATGAGCCCAATATACATACAAGTGGGAAATAATGCTAGAACTTAAAACGTAGAAAATTTTATCTTCATGAAATATAAGCTGAGAAAATCCAGAATATAGGTACACATAATTCTTTAAATACTCACTTGTTCCCTAAACTTCAGCCACTTGTCATTTTTGGTATTCTGATGGTGTGAGATAAGTAACAAAGGGAAATGGCAACAGTAATCAAAGAGTCACGTGATCAGTAGCTGCAATTTTGTGACATAAGCTTGTGTGGAGAAGGCAGTATGTTGGGTGTGAACCAAATAAAATTGTTCCCAAATATGGACCGTGAACCACCTTTCTTATTTTTTATTTGAACTTACTATGTCTACATAATAGTTACACATATTTATGGGGTACATGTGGCATTTTGACAAGCATTCAATGAGTAATGATCAAATCAGGGTAATTGAAGTATCCATCACCTCAAGCAGTTATCATGTTTTGTGTGTTAGGAATAGAACATTGCAATCCACTCCTTTAGATCAGCTCTTTTAGAGAAGAAAGCTCTTTTAGAGCTTTTAGAACATTGCAATTCCACTCTTTCAGATCAGTGTGTTTAGATCAGCTGACAGGTGAGGGGAGAGGAGGGTGTGTTTAGATCAGCTGACAGGTGAAGAGGGGAGAGGGGTGTTTTTAGATCAGCGCTGCTGTTCTTCATTCCCATCTCAACCTACATTGGTGGGAGGTATCTTTCCAAGGATCCTCTGTGTGTGCTGCAGGTGGGAAGGCTGGGGGTACGGGGGGCCAGTAGCCTGTATGCACTGTTGTCCTGCTGGAGGCCACAAGCTTCCAGGGGAGCCCTGCCTCTGGACATATTTTGAAATATACAATACACTGTTACAATAGTTGCTACCGAATTCTCCTTCTCATTTCGTCTATCTTACTGTATTTTTGTACCCATTAATCATCCCCTCTTTATTCTCTCCTCCCTGCTACCCTTTCCAGCCTCTCCTACCACCCTTCTTATTTTTCTTGTAAAATCCAAAATCCTGGGCCATAGATCAAGTTAAGGAGCTATTCCAATCAGCACATTTTTGATGCTACCATTAGCAAATGTAGCCTCTTTAGTGAACTAGAATTTAAGCAATCATGCCAAGATTCCTTTAAGAGAAAATGAGAGGGTGGGTGGAAGACTAAACATTTGATAGGAATATAAAACCACATTCTTTAGAGTAAGTGAAAACTTGATAAATATTCATCGACGGTCCTCCTATTCATGGGAGCAATTCGTAACAATTGTGAAGAATAAAATAAAAAGTAATTAGAGATGATTAGAATTCTCAAAATCACACGCTCAGATGAAATGAACTATAGCTTCAGAAATCTTCAAATGGCAATTTTCTGAATTAATTTTAAGTTTGCATCACCTAGCATGGTCGGAACATATCCTACTGATTGCTCATACTGAGAGAATGTCAGTATGATGATTCTAACATTGTTCAAAATAAGTACTGGAGTTCGGCAAGTTCACTGTAAACCTGCACTACTGTAAGACAATTTGGAGACAATGTAAAGATAATGAAGAAAATCTGGAGTAAGTATTGAAGTCTCAGACCCGATAAATGAGCTGGGCACCTTAGGTGATGCTTCTGTGAAGAACTTGGCATTGTCTTCTGACTGCATGACTTACCATCTTTCACTGGGATGAGCACCTGCTCTGACTGTGATGATGAAGAATGTGTGATTCTGTGTCTTTTAGCCTTTTTGTTTTTGCACAGCGATTCATATTTTAACATAATTTTAATTGATGGACTAACTTTGTTAGGGTCATAGATTTTACTTTAATTTATTAAGTTAGATATGTACTTTGAGAAGATTTAAATTAGAAGCTGCAATTAAAGATTGGGTGAAGATTTTGAAGGGTTCAAAATTATTTTCTATTTATTCTAAATTAACATAAAAATAAACATTACCAATCACCTCACTTTTAAACCAATTTCTCAATGGAGTTGAGAAGTAGGATATGTTTTTGAAAGCAAAGCAAATCCATATTAGAACGATTAGACTAAGTCTCATTTATAATTTGAAAATATATGTATGCAGCAAACTCTTTTTAAAGTTAATTTGTAAAGTTCCAGGCTAAAAATTGTGTTAAAAATAGAGAAAACAAAACTGACAAATAATTTGTTTTGAATTACCTATTTTTTAATGTATTCATTAAATATTTATTAAGCTCCGGTTCCATTCTCGGCTGTGACCTCTGGGTAGGGTGATCCCTCACAGCCGTGTTTCCCAGGCTTGCCTGATCATAATCACCGGGAGCCAATGTCATCAATATCCTGGTTTCCTGTTCTCTTTTCTCCCCACCATGTGGGTTTTGTCTTCACGTGTGTTGCCTCAAGATTATAAGATGCCATTTCACCTCCAGCACCATGTTTATGCCTGATGCAGAAAGAAGAGGGGAAGGCCAGGAAAATAAAAACATCCCCCAAATCCTTGGAGGTTGTGGTTCATGTGTCATTGGCCAATGTTTTTTGGTTTTCAATGAATCAGAAAAATCAGCATTCCACCTAGACATGTTGCTTTCCCAAACAAAATTATGATTTAGCCACCAATGAAGAGGGAAAACTACGTATTGTATAAGCAACCTACAGTGTGTGCTGAGTAACCAATGAGTAATGCGATGAACCTGTTGAGAGGAAATGACAGGATCATACGAAATCCGTTGATAAGAACTCTTGTCTTTTTATCTGATATTAAGACCGAGCATGACCTGCCCCTTCTCACTTCTTCATACCCTTCAGAATCTATGTGGGCCTTTATTATTTATTTCTTCTTCAAGAATGCCTTTGTTTCTTATATTTAATAAAAATGTATGTGTTTTAATAAACCGATAAAAATTTTAACAATAAAATTTCTAAAAATCAATCTTCAAAAGTCACAATAATTTTTCACAAAGTTTACTCACAAAAATGTTGAAGTAACCTGCATACCTGACAATGTGGGTTGGTTCAATCACTTAGAGGAAAATCATAGGAATGAATAGCAGGTAGCCATTACATTGTAAATAGTCTTGAGTGTAAATTGTGATGAACTGGAAAGATACTCATGATAATTTCATTTTAATACAATGATCAGTGTACTCAATTTTATGTAGATAAGGTTATATATAGATATGTTTATTGATTTGCATTAATATCTATATGTTTCTTTATGGATGATGATCTTAGATAAGAATTTTACTTTTTTAGTTACTATTTAAATTAAATTAAATATATTACAAGTAATTTGGTCAACATTGGAAAAGGGGGTAGAGATGAAGACGCTGGAAAAGTGCTTCTGTGTCAAGATTTTAGTGCATTAGAAATGAGAGGCTAGGCGGGGTGGCTCACGCCTGTAATGCCAGCACTTTGGGAGGCCGAGACGGGCGGATCATGAGGTCAGGAGATCTAGACCATCCTGGTTAACTCGGTGAAACCCGTCTCTACTAAAAATACAAAAAATTAGCCGAGCGTGGTGGTGGGTGCCTGTAGTCCCAGCTACTTGGGAGGCTGAGGCAGGAGAATGGCAAGAACCCGGGAGGCAGAGCTTGCAGTGAGCCGAGATCGCGCCACTGCACTCCAGCCTGGGCGACAGAGCGAGACTCCGTCTCAAAAAAAAAAAAAAAGAAAAAAAAAAGAAGCGAGAACACAGGAGATGGGGAAGTCATTCTCTGCAAATTAGGAGGCAAGGTAGCGCAATTGCATGAACGACAAACAGGCAAGCACAAAGAAGATGTCAAATTTATATATATATATATATTTTAATTTTTATTTTTTAGACAAAGTCTTCCTCTGTCTCCCAGACTGCAGTACAGTGCTGGGATCAAGGCTCAGTGCACCTCAAACCCCTGGGCTCAAGAGATTCTCCCACCTCAGCCTCCCAGGTAGCTGGGACCAGAAGTGAACATCGCCACACCCGGCTAAAGATGTGAAAATGTTCTATTCAACCCAGTTCGGCCTTAGGGAAAGCAGCTTTTAATAACCTCCTAGCTTCTTGCTTATAAGTTCTCTAAAAACAAACAAACAAACTTGTTTTCTAATATTCCCCAGCTATCTTCTTATCCAATCCTGTACTATTTAATTCTGTTATATAGTGTTAGCAGTGTGTATTGTACTAAAATATTTGATCAATAACTATTGAATCAGTGCGTATTTGGAAATATTGATATTCTGTTCTCTATTTCATTTTCCCATGACATGCATATGATATTTCATCCAAAGCGATTACAGTCTTTCTTTATTGTGATTAGAGAAGTAGATAAAAGTATTTCAAATTATAGACAAGAAAAAATGCAATTACTAATAAACTTCTAAAACTCAAAATTGTACTTTCTTCAGCCAGAAAAATAACCCTAAAGCCAGAATTGGTCATGAGAATCAGGAGTTTCTAAATAGAGTTATTATGTCAGAATTTAAAGTGAGAGGATTTGGATCATGGGCTTTCTTTCAAAATGCAGACAAGAGGCAATTTCTGTTTATTACCTCTATTCTGCGGTTGCAGCTCCAAGTATGAAAATATATGGTGTAGAGATTGGAAAAGGCCTAGACCCGTTCCTTTGAGTTGTCAAGGTCACTGGGTGAGGAGGGGACGGGGGTGTGTTTAGATCAGCTGACAGGTGAGGAGGGGGGGGGGGTGTTTAGATCCGCTGACAGGTGAGGAGGGGAGACAGGTGTGTTTAGATCAGCTGACAGGTGAGGAAGGGGAGGGGGGTGTGTTTAGATCAGCTGACCGGTGAGGAGGAGAGGTGGGTGTGTTTAGACCAGCTGACAGGTGAGGAGGGGAGGGGTGTCTGTGTGTTTAGATCAGCTGACAGGTGAGGAGGGGAGGGGTGTCTGTGTGTTTAGACCAGCTGACAGGTGAGGAGGGGAGGGGTGTCTGTGTGTTTAGATCAGTTGACAGGTGAGGAGGGAAGACAGGTGTGTTTAGACCAGCTGACAGATGATGAGGGGAGGGAGGTGTGTTTAGGTCAGCTGACAGGTGAGGAGGGGAGAGGTGTGTGTTTAGACCAGCACTGCAGTCCTTCGTTCCACCTCAACCTAGATTGGTGGGAGGTACCTTTCCAAGCATCCTCTGTGTGTGCTGCAGGTGGGAAGGCTGTGGGGGCAGCAGCCTGTACCCACTGTTGTCCTGCTGGAGGCTACAAGCTTCCAGGGGAGCCCTGCCTCTGGACATTCGCAAAATAGCACGGGGCAAAAATGTGGGGTCATCGGTAGAGGGCAGGGAGAGATAGAGATTCAGATGGCCCTTGTATGTCCCGATCGCTTCCCTCTGTGCTTAGATTCTGAAGATGGATCTGTTATAGATAATTTGAGAATCAATAGCATCAGGGCCTCCACCCCCTCTCTAAATAGGACTCTGACATTACCCAGCTGGCTAACACTTACCACTTGGGGATTCACCATTTCATATGTAGGCAGGAAAAGTTCCTGAGTGCAGCACTCCTTGGCTCCCCTTCTGTGTGGGCTAGAAGGAACTCAGAGATGAGTGTGTGTACCTCAAGAGGGTGGCTGGCATGGGAGGAGGGGTTCTGCCAGGAGTGGCTGCTGCATTGGGGTTGAAATGGCTTTGAAGCAGATTAATGGGGCCAAGTGCTGGGGCCAAAGAAAGTCAGAGTCACAGGTGAGTCTCAGGAGGTATGCAGGACCCATTAGGAAGAAAATCCAGCCTATGCGATGTAGAACCAAGGATGTACAACACTTTCCTTGTGCACCAGAGGTGAACAGTGCATTTCCTGGAAGTGAGGAGGGCCCAGGCAGACAGACTCTGCCATAAGCCAGGGTCAGTTAAGACCTGCATGTAGCAGAAGACCCTGACAGGCAGACAGGGGAACTTTCCTCAAAGTTTCTTCTTTACACACCACACTCAACCTCACCTTCGGGGTTAGACTAGCTTGAAATCTAAGAGATACACCTTTTACCTAAAAGCACTGTTTCCAACATTGCATCAGATTGCATGACTCTATTGGACTTTATTTGTGCTCATGACCTGTAGGAGAGAAACTGCAGGAAGAGCCAATTAGCTACAATAACACACATGCTGTCCATTAATGACCTTGCTACAGAAAGGAAAGAATGAGTCCCAGGGCATCTCTGTGAGTAACAGAGTCTTTCATGACTCTAGGAAGGTTGAGTTTGGGCAGCTCTGGATGTCTGAGTAGTTGTTTTAGGAAAGCATCGATAAATTCTGACTTAGTCACAACATTTCACGGAAAATAACAGAGGTTGGACAATCACGCCATGTTACAAAGAAGCAATACTTACAAATGAGAATTATTGAAAATAAAGGCAGTCTGTGCTATCAAGGTTGCTTTAGCTAAATCTGACAAATGTAGTAAAAAAATCTCCAATTTTAAAGGCAGTAAGATGTCGTGATCCAGAAGCTCAGGTGACAAGGCTTTAATTAAAGATAACAACATATTGGGAGGCCAAGGCGGGCGGATCACCTGAGGTCAGAAGTTCAAGACCAACCTGGCCAATATGGTGAAACCCCATCTCTACTAAAAATACAAAAATTATCTCTACAAAAAATACAACCAGGCAGGTTGGCAGGTGCCTGTAATCCCAGCTACTTGGGAGGCTGAGGCAGGAGAATCTCTTGAACCTGGGAGGTGGAGGTTGCAGTGAGCCGAGATTGTGCCACTGAGCTCCAGCCTGGGAAACAGAGTGAGACTCCATCTAAAAATAAAAATAAAAATAAATAAAGATAACGGTATAGATGCTGTGGATGAGTGGGCCCCAGCCATGAGCTCTATGTGCCTGGTGGGACAGAATCCGCTGGAGGAGGAAGGCTTGTAGTGTGATGCCAAAGAACGCAGCAAGTAAATACGGCCGCCTGAGTGAGGTCCTGAGCAGTCCAGTCCACGTGACATGGCAGGACTTTTGCACATGGAAAAATGAAAGGAAAACGCAAGAAAGTCCCCATAAGGTTGTAACCTTATGTAAGAGAAAGATTAAAGTAGAGTCCTTAGAGAAATTAAGTTTGCAGGTGGGTGATGGAAAATCACAACATTTGAATTCTGGGGTGATAAAGGAAGAATATCTAGGTTGTCTTCGTAACTCTTTTAATTGTTATAATTTTTGGAGAGGTTTTGAAAAAGAGGAATGTCCAGTCCCAGTCAATATGAATGGAATTGATTTTCAAAAGCAGTAGATACACAGAGTAGATGAAAGGTTACACATGTTTTGGAAGAACTGATGTAAAGTCATTGGGAAAAAAAATACTGTAGAGAGCTTTTTATTAAATAAAGTGATTTGATTTAAATAATTATATACTGTATGTCCTTCGATGCCTTGAGATGGAATCATAATGTTTAACCGTAACTGTTAAACATTCTTCACTTAGCGAAATTAAACAATTTGATGTCTGTTGCCTGTATATTTGTTGTAAAATTTCACTCATCTGTAAATCTGCAAGTATAGGAATCGCTGATCTAAACCACCAATGACACAGATCATTTTACAGACAGGGCTTTAATTTCCAAATTTACAGAACTCATCGCTTTAAATTAAATTATACATACAATATTACATACATATTTGTGTTATAAATTTATTAATTATGGTAAATATGATATCAATAAGTAATATATAGATATAATTTCTTTCTCATAGTTTCAAATAATCTCTTGAGGATGTTTAAACATAAATCCCAACCATTGTACATTGTTCCAGCTTTGCTGCCTGTTTGTGTTTATACACATGAGAATATACCAGTATATTTCTCTTAAACCATTCCTAAAGTAAAGGTGAGGAAGTAAATATTTCTTTGAAGGACATTAGCACAGTATTTGATAACTTTGGTAGTATTTGATACATATTGAATGAAAAGAGAGCTATATTGTTCATCACAATATGAACAGTGATTATAGAATTATATCCTGTATAGGTAAGTTATACAGTAATCTATCTTATCATTATGCAAAGAAGCCCCTCCACATTTAAGTTAGTTGTGTATTGCTTGAAATACGAGCATAATAATTATACTCATTTTTGTGTACTATTTTTGCAGAGTGAAGTGTCAATGCAGGTCTTTTCTTTCTTTTTCTATTGCTTTTGTTAAGTAGAAACTGCCTTTGTGACAGAGGTTTTACCTTAAAAACCCTCAAATTCGTTTTCGCAGTTCATCTGAAGCTCTCTGTACAATTTCTGGAACAGCCAGAGAAGGTTGAGTGAATAAGTATAGAAAATGATCTCAGAACGAAATCAGTGCTTTTATAGAATATCGTTTTTAAATGCTAGTATTTTACCATCTATAAATCCTTAAACGCTATCATGGAATTTTTTCCTCTTAACTTTTTTCAATAACTCCATAAATAAATAACTTCTTTATTAACATTCAAAATCATTTTATGAATTATATAAAGGTTTGATATATACTTGTCGTTTTTCTGAACTCAGATATTTATTCTCAAAATATGAAAAATGCATCAAATTATGAGATAATATTTGACATATCTAAATTACTTATATCTAGTGGAAATTATGTACTTCTTGTCCATTTTTTTAAAAAAAGTAAATGCATTAATTCTCAGATATGAGTAGTTATCTGAATTTTCCTGTATTCCACTCAACTAAAAAATGATCATTTTTTAACAGAAAAAAAACTATAAGCAAAGTTCTGCTTAATTTTATAAGCAATTCTGGCATTTTATTTTATTTGCATGTTTGTTAATTTGGCCTTATCTAAGACCAACCATCAGGGCTAAGGACCCGCCCAAGCATTGCATCTTATCTAAGACCTTCCTTGTAAGGACTTGCCCAGGCATTGCTTCTTATCTGAAACCCTCCATCAGGGCTAAGGACCTGCCCAGGCATTCCATCTTATTTAAGACCCTCCATCAGGGCTAAGGACCTGCCCAGGCATTCCATCTTATTTAAGACCCTCCATCAGGGCTAAGGACCTGCCCAGGCATTCCATCTTATTTAAGACCCTCCGTCAGGGGTAAGAACCTGCCCAGGCATTGCATCCTATCTGAGACTCTCCATGAGGGTTAAGGACCTGCCGAGGCATTGCACCATATCTGAGACACTCCATGAGGGGTAAAGACCTGCCCAGGCATTGCATCCTATCTGAGACTCTCCATGAGGGTTAAGGACCTGCCGAGGCACTGCATCGTATCAAAGACGCTCGGTCAGGACTAAGGACCTGCCTAGGCATTGCTTTGTATCTAAGACTCTCCAGCAGGGCTAAGGACCTGCCCAGGCATTCCACCTTATTTAAGACCCTCCATCAGGGGTAAGGACCTGCCTAGGCATTGCATCTTATCTAAGCCCTCGGTCAGGGGTACGGACCTGCCGAGGCGTTGCATCTTATCTGAGACCCTGAGTCAGGAATAAGGTATCTAAGACCCTCCGTCAGGGCTAAGGACCTGCCCATGCATTGCATTGTGTTGGCAAGCCGTGCAGATCTCCTGCCCTGGGCCTCATTCCCCACCCCTGATCTGGGTCTGGATGATTTTATTTATTTGCTTTCTGGATCTTTACAGCTTGGGCTCTACTGTCTCAGGATATAAATGGCATATGATGTGTATGAATGATGCCTTTTGGTCAGTTTAATGTTTTTTAGGTTTTTACCCTCGTGTTGCATTTCTATGCATTCGAATCAAAGCAGCTTTCATCCTTGCAGCCTGTCACACTGGGGACTTCAGGGATAAATCAGCAGAAAATCCAGGTCTGCAGTTTATGACGACTTTTTTTGTCCATCTAATTCTTGCCTTATCAACACAATAAACAACTATTCTATTCTTAATGTTTAAACCTGTAAAGCTACCTCATTTTTTAACTTTTAGAACCAGCCTTTCCTTCTGCTAAAATGTTCTCATTTAAAACCCTCCCCCATTCTTAAAATTATTAATGATGACCAGGGTTTAATTGGGTCACCTTAGTGTGTTAATTCCTTTCACTGGGAAGTTAGAAAAGAAGCTGGGTGCCGTGAGGAGTCTAAGCACACTGGGGAGGTTGAATGAGCAGAGTGGAGCCACATCATAGAGGGGCTAGATGGAGCGACCCAAATATTTTATCTTAGAACACTAACATCATCAGG
This sequence comes from Homo sapiens, assembly GCF_000001405.40. Lineage (NCBI taxonomy): Eukaryota > Metazoa > Chordata > Mammalia > Primates > Hominidae > Homo > Homo sapiens. The sequence goes on from NC_000010.11 coordinate 2,397,712, forward strand.
CTCACAATATATCCATCCCTCATGGAACTGAATTATGCCTGCATTGGACCTAGTTATATTGAAGAATTTTAGGTATAATCAGATAAATTTACGTTTTAAATAAGAATGTTATGCACCACTCACATGTTGCATGAAGGTTCATGTCTGAAGCAAACAGTATAATATTTAGTATTTAAAATTCTGGCCTTACTTCTGTTGGTTTCCAGATTAACTTTAGAGGACAGTTTTCTCCCTGCTGCAGTAGTGATCACAGTAACCCAGCCGCTAAGGGAGAAAGATTTTTATCTTTATTGCCACGGGCCACTGTCTACAGGCTGAAATGGGGCAAATGAATTTGGTGATGGTCTTCAGAGCCTGGTTTCTCATCTTTCCTTAAAGCTACTACAGAAGCAGGAAGGTGTCATACCTTCCCTTACCTGTCATAAGGGTCACAGCTGATACTCCTATAACAAAAGACAGGCGAATGAGAGAAAAGTATCACAAATTTATGAAGTCAAAGTTTTAGATGGTATACGATCTTTCAGAAATAAAGACCCCCAAACCCAACAACAACTACTTTTATGCTTAGGTTCCATAAAAAATGGACAGCTGTGTAGAAATGTGTTCGGACAAAAGGCTGTGACCAAGCCATAACAAAGTTGAATGACCTGAGGTCAGGAGTTTGAGACCAGCCTGGCCAACACGACGAAACCCCAACTCTACTAAAAATGCAAAAATTAGCCGGGTGTTGTGGCGGGCACCTGTAGTCCCAGCTACTAAGGAGGAGGCAGGGGAATTGCTTAAACGCAGGAGGTGGAGGTTGCAGTGAGCCAAGATAGCACCACTGCACTCCAGCCTGGGCGACAGAGTGAGACTCCGTGTCAAAACAACTAACCAAACAAATAAACAAATACCAAAGTGAAGGGAAACCCAGCAAGGACTGCCTGTTCTGGGTCTTCTTGACCTCTTTGTATGTGTTCCTTACTCCCAGGGACAGGGCAGGACTCCTCTGGAATGAAGGTCTTCAAAGGAGAGGGGTTAAGGGAGAAGGTGACCTTCTAGGTGCCATGGCAGATGGATGTGTTTGGGGAGCCAGGGGACTGACTGTGGTAGCCACCTCCAGGATGACCTGCAGTCACCCTCATCTCCTGGTATTGACGCATGTGTTTGAGCCCCTCCAACATTTAACCAGGGCTGCTGTGTGTGAACAATATAATATGGTGGAGGTGACCATGCCTGACTTCTAGAGCTAGGACACGAAGGCATTGCAGTGAATCCTGCGGCCTCTTGGATCATGTATTCTGAAGGAAGCCAGTCACATGTGAGGACACTCAACAGCTTTGTGTGCGGCCCACACAGAGAGAAATTGAGGTCTCCAATCAATGAGCTTTTTTCACTGGGTACCGTGAATGTCGTGGTTTGCAGACTCTCATCCTCTGGAGAACTCTGTTGTCTTGTTAAGCAGATACTTTCCAGCCTTTAGGCTCAGGTCAGTCATCACAGCTTCCAGTGTGTTGTTACACATCTTTGCTGCTTTCCTTTTACATCCTAAACTCTCCAGGCTCTTCCTCCGACTCCATGGACAGAAGGCAGCAGGTTTCTGTTAGAAACCCTCACCGTGCTGCTCTACGACAAAAGCCACCCGGGGCGAACTTGGGTGTAAGAAAGAAAAAAAACCGCTAGGAAACCGCCCTGTGTTCTTTGCTTCCCAACTGTGGATTCCCCTCAACACCAGCCTGCCTGGTCCTCAGGTAATTGTGTTTGTAAAAATGTTTTTCAGTAGCTTCTGAAGTAGCCTCTCATTCCCACTTGCTATAATCAGTTGTCCAGGATAATCACTGAAGATGTAAATCCAACCGTGAAAATCTCTCTAAAATATCTGTGACACTCCATACTACCCTAAATAATATTACAACTGCTTACCATAGCCCCACATTGTAAAGAACCCATTTATAGCTCTGAGCAGGTCTTTACTACTCCTGTCTTCTTAACCACATCATAGCCACGTGACTTTCTCTTTGTTTTTCACATGAAAATGCCTCAGTGCTGTTTTGCTCCCTCAGAAAGGTTTTTTTCTGAGCTTTTCTGTGGCCGTTTCCTTCTACTCACTTTTCATTTCTCCAAAGACCTTCTCTCAGCCCCGTGTGTGAATTCCTTCTCCCTCCTCACTGACTGTATCTCATCCTTTTATCCATTCACACATTTATAGCTTTTTGAAACGATTTTATTGTTTTTAACTTAAAACATTCCTATCATATGCTTCTTCCATTGAAATTTAAACTTAATGGCTCCAGGTCTGAGAAACACAGAAGATTAGATTGTCAAGTCAGATTTCCACAAATCTGATTTAGCAAGTATGACCTTTACTATAGAGGCAAGCTGATGTCTGGGATCTGTAGCTGACCTCCACAAAAGTGTTCTCACCCAGCTAACCAGACCACCTTGCTCTCACCCAGCTAACCAGGTCACCTCACCCTCACCCAGATAACCAGGGCACCTCACCCTCACCCAGATAACCAACCTACCTCACCCTCACCCAACTAACCAGCCCAACTCTCCCTCACCCAGCCAACCAGCCCAATTCTCCCTCACCCAGCTAACCAGCCCACCTCGCCCTCACCCAGCTAACCAGCCCACCTCGCCCTCACCCAGCTAACCAGCCCACCTCGCCCTCACCCAGCTAACCAGCCCACCTTGCCCTCACCCAGCTTATCAGCCCACCTTGCCCTCACCCAGCTAACCGGCCCAACTCTCCCTCACCCAGCTAACCGGCCCAACTCTCCCTCTCCCAGCTAACCAGTCAACCTCACCCTCACCCAGCTAACCAGGCCAACTCTCCCTCACCCAGCTAACTGGCCCTCCTCGCCCTTGCCCAGCTAACCAGGCCACCTCGCCCTCACCCAGCTAACTGGCCCACCTCGCCCTCACCCAGATAACCAGGCCACCTCGCCCTCACTCAGGTAACCAGGCCACCATGCCCTCACCCAGATAACCAGGCCACCTTTGGCCTGAAATATCTCTAGTTCTAGACTCAGACAGTTACAAACTTACATAATATTTCCTAGGGAGACATGCCCCATTAATACAAAATTCTAGATGTGTCTATTATAAAAAACACTAGACAATCAAGCATTTTCTGCTAAAAGCACTCCATGGACAAGAAAATGGAAAATGACCCTAAAGAATAGCTTTCTTTGAACAAACTCCTCTGACAACTCCACACACAACCACTAGCATAATAACAGCTCTGAGAATTATGTCCCCCAAGTTTTAAAGCTCTGTGATTCAGTCTTCTAGAAACCTATTTAATCTCTGAACCCTTCTTTATAACATTGATTTAGAAGACTCAAGGTCTCCTACAGCTACCCAAAGTAATAAGAGGTGAGAGCTCACTATTCTACCCTTTAAAGTCAGGGTGACGATATAACTCACTTATGTTGTGAGTGAGAGGGGCACTGTTGCTGGTTATGTCGGGAAAACAGGCGAAAATGTACACTACCCAGGATAACACCTAAGTATGCTCACTTCGTCTAAAGTAAATGAAAGCAGCAATATGTTTATTTTTAAGCAGTAATATCTAAATATTTCTACCCACATCAGCCCCTAAATTACATATATATGTTTATATATTATATATATTATATATGTTTATATATATGTATGTATGTGTGTGCGTGTGTGTGTGTGTATGTATGTGTGTGTGTGTGTATATATATATATATATATGCATTCTCTGAAAATAAATTTGGAAATACCAAAAAGCCTAGAGCTGTTTCAGCTGACAGATCAGCCCACGTTTTTGTTAGAAACATGAGTGCAGTGCAGGAGACAATGAGGAAGAATACGGCTTTGTTTGGTGGAAGCACAGCATCGAGGCTCAGTAAACTCTCCTTTATTGTGTGTCTGAGTTGGAACGTCTGGATAATAATTTAGCCTAAGCCACCAGGAAGAGATGGAGACTTATATAAATCATACAGCTCTGAGTATACTGCTTGCTAAACAAATACCAACAGAAAGAATAATGTTTGCCTAATGGTGGTGAAATGTCACACGAAATGTGTGCTCAGCAAAGCAATCACCCTCAGCCTGCACAGAATGATCCGGAAAGCATGATACTCAAGGGCGTTGGGGGTCTTCTCTTCCTTTGATCTTCCTGTGTGAGAGAGAGCTTTTTTTTGGATGGAGGTGAAGCATTTTTTCTTGCTTTTACATCTAGATTAGTGTTTGTGGGGAAAAAAGTGATAAAAGATGAATTCAAAGACAAGGAAAAAAAGATGAAAGTAAGGATTAAAACAAGAAAGAAAAAGAAAGAAAGAGACAGAACCTTTGGATTAATGGAAATGGATTTCTTTTAAATAACTATCGTCATTACTAACTAGAATAAAGGCCCTCACCACTCCATCCCCCTTGCTCCTGTTCACCTGTCACAGTGCCTTGGACACAATATATACTCACAGATTACCGACGGGGAGAGGCAGAGAAGAAATTAAGACGTTCTAGAAAAATTAAAATAAAACACACCAGAGGTTGTGTCTCAACTATTAGCAACGGTACCATAGTATTTTCTGAGTAGATCTTTAGTTCAGTTCTTCATACTTTCTTTTCTAACTACAAATTTAAAAATGGAAAATACATCATCTGTTTTCTAGCATTTTCTCTAAATTATGTCCTAAATTGATTTATTTGGAGATTAATATAAAAAGAGACAAGCGTTCTCCTTAGAATCACCATCTACGTTACGAATGGTGTGTATTTTATAACAATACCACTAGGTTCAATTAGTAGCTCATTTACATTAATATCTTAAAAATTTGTCTGGAATATTTATAGTAATTTTTTCGATAAACAAGTCTATTTTGTTTTGCCATTTAGGTCACTTTTTAATCTTTAACTTGTAGTTGTATCTGGAGATATTTTCTGAGCTGTCATCTTAAGATATGAGCAAGAAGCATAATGTCTAATGTGGTTGACATTTCAATCTGAATTTGAATATTTTGTATGAATGATGAGCATATTATTTTCAAGTAAATGATAACTTTTTATGGAAGAGGGCATTGTGTTACTATATAAGAATAAAATAAAATATTCTCTTTCTTCAAGCATCTTAGAATTATATAAACCACATGTGAAGAGATGTTAGATAACATGAAAATTTTACTAAACATGCAACATTATTAAATGCTAAATGATAGCGTAGCATAAATTTGTAGCATGGAGCTAATATTTCACAGTTTATCTAGGAATTATCTCTGGAGAGTATGAAGTGTCTTAATATCTGTCAAAAATACAACTGATGTTGGAAAATATGTTTGTTTACAAGTAAGTTGTGTGTGTCAAGGCATTTTGTAGGTTTGTCATTTGATAGAGGAACTCTTTGAATTGGTGGGAGGTACAATTCCCTAGTCTTCTAAAACTGGTTCTTGTTTTCTATGTCCTGGGCTTGAATAATGAGATATAGAGGCAGCACTTTCACAATGATTATGGAGAAGTGTGGAGAAGCCGACCCCAGCTCCTGAGAGTCTGTGCTAGAACAGCCTTCTCAGGTGCTCTGATTGAACCAAGTGACAACAGTGCAAGAGGGCATGGTGACAAGGTCTGTCCTGAGCCATTGTGGATGGCACTTTATGGCTTACAAGTGTCTTCAGGTGACACAGCCTAAAAATTCTTGAAAACGGGTCAAAGTGGAGAGAATGGGAGGATGAGAACCAGTGCTTTCCCCATCCCGTGCATCAACACCGCTATTCCTTGAATCTTTAAGAAGAACAGACGAAGTAGTAAAGTGAACACATCAAGGAACACTCCCGGCTCTAGATAGGCTTCTCATAAACCTTTGTTTAATAGTCTATTTTAACCAATTGAAGAGAAACAAACAAATAAATCATGGGGCCAGTGTGTGGCTCATGCCTGTTATTCCAGAACTTTGGGAAGCTGAGGCAGGAGGACCCCTTGAGCTCATGCATTTGAGACAAGCCTGGGCAACATAGGAAGAATCCATTTATACAAAAAATTTTTAAAAATAGCGGGGTGTGGTGGCGTGCAGCTGTCATCCCAGCTACGTGGGAGGCTGAAGTGGGAGGATCACTTGAGCCCAGTGGTAGAGGCTGCAGTGAGCCATGATGCATCCAGTGCACTCCAGCCTGGGTGACAGAGTGAGGCCCTGTCTCAAATAAAATAAAATAAAATAAAAAGGAGAAGTTTCTTTCAATGTACAGCAAACACAAACATCAAAGTACAGTGGGTGGTATTAGGGTGTTTATAGAGGAGTTGCTTCTGCTGCAAGATAGACAAGAACTAAAGGTGGAAAGGAAGCAAGCTCCTGAAAGAGGACAGGTGCGGGAACATCCAAGACTCTCAGATTCTACGTCATTCCCTGCAGGTGCGGGGACTCTCAGATTCTATGTCATTCCCTGCAGGTGCAGAGACATCCGGGACTCTCAGATTCTACATCATTCCCTGCAGGCGCGGGGACATCTGGGACTCTCAGATTCTAAGTCATACTCCACATCTCACAGCAGGAGGAGACTGATTCTGGAGAGATTACCCAAACTGCTCAAGCAACCCACTCAATCTGCAACTGAGCGGGGTCTAAAGCTCAGGGCTTTCCACTCCTCATTCTGTATTCGTTCTTCCACCAGCACTTACTGTCTCTCCAGTGACTCAATGCTTGGGCCCAGATTAACACCTCAGGAAGGTTATGTACCTTGCTATGAGTTACAAGTACTGGAGGATAGCGCAGGTGCATTATACCAGTCTGATGTGAGGTAAATATGTGGTATCAGTGAAGGTTTATGGACAGTAAAATTAGGAGTGTTTGAAATACAGATGTTCTTGGACTTATGCAGGGGTTAAGTCCCAATACATTCATCCTAAGTTGGCAATATTGTCAGTAAGAAACGCATTCAATACACTTAATCTATGGAACATTACAGCTTAGCCTGGCTTACCTTAAATGTCCTCAGAGCACTTACCTTAGGCTGCAGTTGGGCAAAATCATCCAACACTACTACCTAGTTTCAGAAGGTTTTGCATAATTAACCAGCTATGTCTGGGAGTAACATCATAAGAAGCAGGCCCCTTAGGTTCTTAATTTAGATCAATGACAATTAGAAGACCTAACCCTTAAGGATAAGGGCTAAAAAGGGTTTAAATCTTATTTGTTTGTTTATTCTTTTCTTTTTTCTTAAGACAAATGTTTTTTAGAACAAAAGGCGTAGGTTCTTCAGCAAATATGGGCATTTGTGTATTACAATTCCTTAAACTCTGTGTGTATGTTTTACGGTTTTTGTTCATATGACGTATTTCATTAAAATACTTTTTAAAAGCAACTGACTTTTTTTTCTGAACATAGCACTATTTTTCAAATCGCGTGTTTTAACAGTGCCATAATCCCAGGAGGAAAGTGCTATTTGCAGCACCTGCCGAGCCGGGGGTCCTCAGGCACTGGGTTGATGTATTTACTAAACCCAGAAACAGACATCTTTTGATGTAAGATGAAAGAGGTTAGCCCACATCGTGATAAATGTTCATGTCTCAAACTATTTATAAACAAGGAAATGCCAGGGCTCCTATATGGCAGTCCAGGCAAAAGAGCCTAAAGAATATTTGAGATAAACACAGCAGGTGTTTATCTAATGACTCGTCTTGCCCCAGGGTCACTGAAGAAAGGGCTCCCATTGCAGCCAGCGTGGTGGAAAGCCTGGGGCACAGCGTCAATGGCAATTGGGGTACTGGCTGCACTGCAACACTGCATAAGCCCATGGCCTCGGTGAGCTTCCTCTCACTCAACAGCAAAACCGCGATCACAAGTAGACTCTGCTTCTCAAGCCATTAGCCAGTGTCTAGCACAGAGTGAGGACTCAAAAAATGCTGATTACCCGGTCAGGAATTATTTGCTGAAACACCACTGAGATCTATATTGCATCTTATTGGAAACAACATCATCACATTAAACACATAGGAGGATTTTAGAAACATTCTCTTGTGCAAAACGCCACTCTATCTGAGTAAGTTAAAACACATAAATTGTCAGAATATTATATTGACTGTGAGATATTTATGGTATCAGGAGGGCACAGCAGTTTAGGGAGGCAAGATGGCAACGTACGTCCTCATGGAGAGAAACGTGAATGGACTTCAAGGGGATTTCTGGATTCGGATGAGCAGAGGAGACTGGCGAGAGCAGATGGGGGGAGGAGCTGCAGCTGGATTGCAGACTTTCCTTTTTCGTCATTGGATGTGTGGATTTGGATCAGCGCAGACGGGAACGCTCAGATCCACAACCAGTCTAGAGAGGTCCATTTCAGGCCCTGGGGCAGGGCACACAGAGAGACTGTTCATGTGACTCAGACACGCTCCACTCTTAGCACTTACAAAGCTCCGAGTATTTCAGAGATGAGATGCAATTTATGTCCCGTAGAAAGGACATGGTGGCTACTGGTCTCTCAGGGTCTACAGCCAAAGTCCATAGCCCTCAACTTACATTTCCAGAGTCATTTCCAAAGTAAATTTCTGATAGGATTCTTGCTGTAGGATGACATCACAGGAACTCAACAAGGTAATTTCTGATAGCATAAACCCAGGAAGTTATGCATAGAGACAGAAAGGAATGAGAGACAGCAAGAAGGTCACTGAATGAAATAACCCAGATACCAGCTGAGACCCCTCATCTTTTATATATTTGCTATGCTGGGTTTTAATCCCCAGGTTCATGGCCTGTGGCAGCTATACTTAGTATAAATTGTGTGTGTGTGTGTGTGTGTGTGTTTGTCTGTCCTGAATTTCTAGGGAGAAATGCTCTCATGGTCCCAGGCTCAAGAGAATGTTGGGCTCCTCTTAAAATTTTAATTACTCACTTAATCTTTCAGTTGAGAGTAATTTTTAGTGTCTCCTAGGTGTGGGGCACCTCTAGGATAGAAGTCCTGTTGGGTTAAAGGAAAGAACAACTTACATGGGCAGATTTTAACTCCAGGGACTTTAGTGAAGATGATTTCATAAATTGCTCATGCCTTCCAATAAATAATTGTGTAAGTATTTTTGAACATGAAAAATCTACTATATAGTTCACCATAGAGCATTTTCTGTAAGCTATAGAGTGACAAGATAAAGATTTTTATCCATATCACTAAAGACATTACATTAATGAGAAGACTAAAGGAATGCTTATTGTTTGAAATGTCACCTACGGTGAAGCCTGTGTCCCTGTGTGAAATGGTATAATGTGTATGGATGACGCATTGGACATTGATGTAAGTTAAAACAAATGCAAAATCATAGGCTATCAGAGGGTAAGTTGACCTTATACACTATCTAATTCAAATTTGTAAATCAGGACAAACAAAAATTGAGGGAATTTATCACCAATAGACATGTCGAGCGAGGGATGTTAGAAAACATTCTTCAGAAACAAAGAAAAAGTTATAGTTCAGAAACCCAAATCTACACAAAGAAAGGAAGAGCATGAGAGAATAAACAAAGATAAACTGAAATCTTTTATATGTCTTTTCTTAGTTGATCTAACAGGTAGCAGTTACTTTAAATAACAAGGAGAGCAACGCTGTTAAAGGATGAGCACGAGGAATTGGGAATGTTCTGTTCTAAGGCACATGCACAGCCCATGAAATGGCACAGGGTTATTTGAAAGAGCACTTGGACTTATTGTAAATGTATACTGCACATTCAAGGGCAACCACTAAAAATAATTTTTTGAAAAAAGCATAATTGATATACTAAAAGTAAACAAAAATACAATCCTATAAAATAAAACCAGAGAAGGCAGAAAATGAGTGGAAGGCAAAAAAAAAAAAAAAAAAAAAAGAAATAATAAGATTAACAAATAGAAAACAGTAACAGATGTGGTAGGTATTATTCAGACTACATCAAAAATGAGTTTAAATGTTAATGGTCAGAGTACTCCATAGATGAACGGGACTTCAGGGGCCCTTCTGATCCTGGAGGGACTGCCCCTTCTAGAGTTAGTTAATTCCCAGATATAGCAAACAACCTGCCTGTAAGTGTGCTTATCATTAGCAAACTGACCAATGCCGAGTCGAAATCCCCAACCACAGGCTCTCATGCTCAGCCCCACCGTACCTTGCCCTAGTCACCCCCGGGCACATTTAGTTTTTCCAGTTTGGTTAAACATTTGGACATTTACACTTGGCATACATTTAATTCATAAATATAATCTTGTAAATTTAAGATTTCAAAAAACTGTTAACTTGATTTTGAAGATACATTGAAATTGAAAATATACAAATCTTATAAATGCCTAGCATTTAATAAAAAAAATTAGGAAACTATAAAATGAAAATATAAGCCCCAAACAGGACAAAACACCAGCCACTAGGAACCGACGTAGAAATTATAGAAACCATGAAGTCAGCACATGTGCACTTTAAAGTAACTGCTGCAACTGTCATCAAATATTAAAAGAACGTTTTTTAAAAGTTATTTTAATCTAGCAATTGTCAACGAGATACCATGCAATAAAAATAACTCAGATAAATTTAAGATGCCGAATTCCTGGAATTCAACTCTTAAAAAATTCAACTCTTAAAAAAATAACAGGGAGAAATATAGCTTAGATACATGTTACATAATCTGTTAATTTACAAATACAAATATATGTGTCCAATAAATAAGTATATTAATCCTCAATATTATTTAAGAATTTTTGGCAAAATTCTAATGATATCATATATTTGCAATATTTTGTAATTCTTAGGTCACCCAGATGTCATAATATTTTGATATAAATATATTTATTTTCACCTTATATTTGATAACTGAATCTACATAAAAAAATCAGAGTTTATGATGTTGTTCTAATACTTTTGAATTTTTTATCTCCAAATGCCAGTTTCAACTTTCAATCTTCCAAATGTATTACTTCAGATTCTCCTTGCACCAAGTTAAGACTGTTAGTCTCAACTAACGTGATTCCAAATTTCATCACACCATTCAAGGAGTTCTCAGCCATTGCCCGCAGAAGCACTGTGGAACTACCTTGAAATATCCCATTCTTGCTGGTGATAATTTTCTTTTTGATGACAATAACTTAATCAATGTAACGAATCCTCCCCATAAAATAAATTTGTTCAACAACTAGAGACTTTTATGTGACCAGGAATCTTACATGTGTTTCTGTATTCTGAAGAGTTGGATGAAAACATATTGTGTGAAATATTCAGCAAACTAGGATCGAAGAGGAAGAATAATTCCTCCACATTCCTGGCTTCAGTTAGATTTAATCCACATTTTATTTATTTTGAGATGAAGTCTCGCTCTGTCGCCCAGGCTGGAGTGCAGTGGTGCCATCTCGGCTCACTGCAACCTCTGCCTCTCTGGTTCAAGCGATTCTCCTGCCTCAGCCTCCCAAAATGTAGCTGGGATTACAGGCGCATGCCACCACGCCTGGCTAATTTTTTTATTTCTAGTAGAGACGGGGTTTCACTGTGTTAGTCAGGATTGCCTTGATCTCCTGACCTCACGATCCGCCCACCTTGGCCTCCTAGTGGCTAATTTGTCTATTTTTGTAGAGACAGGGTTTCGCCATGTTGGCCAGGCTGGTCTCGAACTCCTGACTTCAGGTGATCCACCTGCCTCGGCCTCCCAAAGTGCTGGGATTACAGGCGTGACCCACCGCGCCCAGCTTACTCCACATTTTAAATAGATTTTGGATTCAAGATGTATATACTTGGTCTTAGTTCCTGATTCTCCCAACAAGATCTGAAACAGATGTTCTTAAATAGTTTTTTCATATTTAACTCTGTTGTGAAAATGTTTAAGTTTAAATATATACTGAATATAATTTAAAATTTCAGACACTGACGTTACTGAAATAGCATCTTACATTACAAAGCTGTAAGGAAACTACATTATCTTTTAATGTGTAATGTGATGATATGTTAAGGGAATTGGTAAATATTAAATTCAATAATTTATATATTTTTAAAATATATTAAGGGAAAGTGATATGAGATTAAAAGTTTATAAGGCTAATACTTTTTCTCAAATTGAGAAATCAGATTTCCTCAGAGGTCCACAGAAAATGAAAAATAACTTTGTTTACTTGTATCTTATGTACATTTGGTAAATAAATATGCTTCAATTCATGCCTCCACGGCTCATCAAACTATTAATTTAAAATATACTACAGCTGCATATTGGAATAACAGCAAATTTTAGAATTATTCAGAAGATAGTTTTGCCATGGTCAAGATTATTTGTAAAATTAAGGTGTATAAAACAATTTAAAATATTTTGGGTCATTGATATAATTGACGATAGTATGGGTGATACAAAATGAATCTTTGAAAAACTGCTGCACTAGATGGGAAGTTATTTCTCTGGGGATTGTAGCTCAGGTGTGTGTCAATAACTTCAGCTGAGACAAAGATCATGGGCAAGTGTGTGTGCACGTGAGAGAGTGTGTGTGCGTGTGTGCACATGTGTGGGAGAGTGTGTGAGTGCACACCTATACCTGTCTGTGCGTATGTGGCAAGGATGCACAAGTATGCATGTGTGTGCATCTGTGAGACTGTGTGTGGTGTGCACATGAGTGTGATCACACACACGTGTGACTGTGTGAGTGTGTATAAGTGTGTGAGCATATACATGTGCACCTGGGAGTGTGTGTGTGTGATTGTGAGAGTGTGTGAGTGTGTGTTAGTTATGAGTGTCTGATAACAGGCAGCAGGGGAGGTATGGAGAAGATGATTGTAAATACATCTGAAAGCATCATGCTCACTCAAACATTTATTTACTTATTTATTTTTTTATTTTTTGAGACGGAATTTCGCTCTTGTTGCCCAGGCTGGAGTGCAATGGCTGATCTCGGCTCACTGCAACCTCAGCCTCCCGAGTAGCTGGGATTACAGGCACCAGTCACCACGCCCAGCTAAGTTTTGTATTTTTGTAGAGACAACATTTTCACCATGTTGGTCAGGCTGGTCTTGAACTCCTGACCTCAGGTGATCCACCTGCCTCGGCCTCCCAAACTGCTGGAATTACAGGCGTAAGCCACTGTGCCCGGCCTGTATCCCATCTTCAAAGGCTCTTTGGAAGCAACACGACACCAGCAGCACAGACAGACCATGTCACTCGGCTCTGCGTTAGGACTTCAGGACCGCGGCAGTCTCATCATTGTGGGTGGGCGAGTGGACAGGGAGTACCCACGGCCTGGACAGCTGATGCCAGGACTTGAGGGTGAAGGATAATGCTCAGACAGCATCTTCTGTGATACGGAATTCTTGGGCCGATTCTTCTCAGCGGAGTTAATGCTTTTCCCCTTGGCCTGGAGAATATTCGCCAGCTGCGCTTGTGGCTGCAGCTTACGCTGAGATAACTCTGCCACGAAATATCTCGCTTTTATTATTATTTTCGCATCGCTCTACTATATCGATTTTGGAAATAAATCATTCTATTTAGAGCATTCTTTATTTATTTATTTATTTATTTTTGAGACGGAATCTCTCTCGTTACCCAGGCTGGAGTGCAATGGCGTGATCTTGGCTCACTGCAACCTCCGCCTCCCAGGTTCAAGCGATTCTCCTGCCTCAGCCTCCAGTGTATCTGGGATTACAGGCATGCACCACCACGCCCGGTTAATTTTGTATTTTTAGTAGAGATGGGGTTTCTCGATGTTGGTCAGTTTGGTCTTGAACTCCCGACCTCGGATGATCCGCCCACCTCAGCCTCACAAAGTGCTGGGATTACAGGCATGAGTCACCGTGCCCGGCTTATATTCTATTTTTAGTAGTGGTATTTCCATTTACAAAACATAGTAATGCTCGATCATTGAAAATATCAAACCCTGGAAAACGTAGCATTCCTACGCGTGATGTTAACATGGTTCTCCAACAGTTGTTGGCGGAAGATTCATTTGATGAATCCAGTTTTTCCGACCTGGATGATTCTGATCATTCAGACGATTCTGATGTCAGTTCTCTTTAGAAAGAACTCCAAGTGCAGTTTTTATATTTTGTTTTCGCACTGAAAATTAGTCAGATATGCTTCAGCCTCAGAGCATGTTTATGTAAAATTAAATGAGCGCTGGCAGAGAGCTGCACTTTTTCTTTTCTTTTCTTTTTTTTTTTTTTTACTAACAGGAAATTAAAAAGTTCTCAAGGGAAAGCCTGTCCCATCTACATTCATAATTCCAAAGACACCTGTGCATTCCGCTGCCTGTGTAAAGTACACACCATCAATCTTTGTGGATTTACTCTTGCATGTTTAGTATACACAATTTTATTGGACCAGTTCCAATCTCAGAAACGGGAAAGTATGCTAAAGCAGTAATTTTCTACAGTCGCTGATAGTCGTATCACCTGGGGCTCTTTTTAATAAATGCTGGTATCTGGACCACATCTCATGATGCTTCGGTTTCACGCATCTGCGTGAGGTCCCGGCATTAGAACTTTAAAACTTAACCAAGTGTGTTTTAAGAGGTTGCCAGGGGATCTGGGGAGCCACAACTCTAGGAATTCTAACTCATGCTTTGGATTCTCTTGTATTGACAACCATATCTCAAACCACTCTGTCTTGCTTCCAGAGGTCTTACCATTGTCTTCCATTTTTTAACGGTGGCTATACAATATTTTCCTTACTCCCTGTGTTTGTAATGAATATTTTCCCTACTCTGTGTTAGTAATGTAAAATACCCCTTCCTTACACTAAAAATTGCTCTTATTTTCTCAGGGTTCTTGGAAGTTGAAATTCTGTTGGGGCTTTGGGGCCATGCTACCTGCTTCTCTTCCTCCCGGATGTCCGTGACTTATCCACCTATATTGCTCATCAATGCCTTCTCCTTGACTCTGCGTGGATTGTGCCTCCTTACTACCTACCCGTTAAGGCAATCTATCCTTATTTTGAGCAAAGAGACTTAAAGTCAATTCTTCGTGGAATAAATAATTCTTTTGTCTGGAGTCTTCCTTCCCATCTGTGTTATTATCTTCCAAATGTGGCTTTATCCTATTCATGACCCAAGAGTTCATTTTCCCCGACTATGGTAGGCAGCTGAGCTTCTTCCACATTTGTGCCAATTTGTTCAATTCAACTTCAATGAATGAGGCCATGACCAGGTGTGTCCAAGACATGGCAGTAGGAAGCACATCACACAAGCTCACGAAGAGCTACAGATGGTACCATGGCAGCTGCATAATGCTGCAAAATAGAGGGGCTCTGCTTATGAAAATGAAAGGCTTTGTAAGTCTCAGTTTCCAGCAGAGAAGAACATCAAGGCGCCATATTCCAGTCTGTGCTATTGTTTTTAAAAAACTCATGGATGGACAATATTTCTTAGTTAGGCAGTTAGACAAAATGGCTAGGTGTCTGTGTTAATTTCCATGTATTTGCAAAACTATGTGCACCAAATTACAAACTTCTCGTGTATGCATATGGAAACCTACAGAATGAGAGGCTGTTTGTAGCCTGTTTCTCTTCCTTCTCATTTTTCTCTTCTTCACATGCAACTCTTAGCCAGCCATAAAAAATGAAATGCGGTTAAACCTAACAGTTGAGCAAGTTGAAATTGTTTTAAAATATTGAGGTCAAATAATTATATTTCAAACAGATTAAAATCTCTATGAAATGAGGCTATATAAGAACTACGAACCTCAGAACCTCATTTTTAATTCACACTATGGAATTCTAAAGTTAACTGTATCTGTTATCTGCTTTGTTCCATGATGTTAAAAATCTAGGATTTTTATGATTGCCAGCAAAATATTTTTCTCTGGTAATGCAAGAAAGCGGGATGAGGAACAATAAGTTAGGGAATTGAATTGGCATAATTCCCAATTTAATAACACAAATGTCTAGGGACATAAGAACTTATCGAATTTTGTCAGGTTGAGATTTATTTTCAATATAAAGAGAAAAGTAGTCCAGTGCAAATAACAGAATATTGTAAAATGAGAAATTAAATCATTTTACAAGATGCACAATGTATTTATGTTTTCTACTTTGCAGTTGGACAATAAAAGAACATTATCTCAATAATGTTAATGTATTTTATTTCTAATCTATCTGATGACCAAACTCTAACCTAACAAACGTATTTTTATTCAACTAGTGAAATTCAAATCAGCTATATCTGTTCATTGTTTTATCTCATTTTAAGTTTCTTAATCCTTTTGGTGTTTAGGAAAAAAAAGTGCAGTTGGCTGCCAGCACTCATTAAAGTTTACATAAACATGGTCTGAGGCTGCAGCCAATCTGACTGATTTTCAATGTGAAAATAAAATATAAAAACTGTTCTTGGAGTTATTTCTAAACAGAACTCACATCAGAACCATCAGAATTGTCTATGTCAGAAAAATCGAATTCATCAAATGAATCTTCAGGCAATGACTGTTCAAGAAGGATGTTAACATCCACGTAAGAATGCTACGTTTTCTAGTTTTCTAGGATTTGACATGTTCAGTGATCAACAATGACTGTACTTTGTGAACGGAAATACCGCTACTAAAAAAAGAATGCTATAAACAGAATGACGTCTTCTGTTTCCAAAGTCAATATACTAGCGTGATGCAAAAATAATAATAAAACCTAGGTATTTCATGGCAAAGTTATCTCAGGGTACACGCTGCAGCTGCAAGTGCCCTGGTGAGTATTCTCCGAGAAAACTGGTAAAGGGTTAAAAGGTTTAGCAGTGAATGATCTAGCTTAAGCCAAGTGGGCTTATGCTTTCAACATCCATAGCATGGCCAGTTGCCATCAGTTATCCAAGTCACAACTGGGGTGGCATAGAAGCCAACTCACATCAGCAAGCTTCCAAGGGACAAGGTGGCTGTTCCCTGTGACTCCACCCTCATTGATTTGGAGGGATCATATTCAATTTTCTTTCAGAATTTGCCTTATGCATAATGTGACTCCTTGGCGTCTATTGAGGCCCAAATCCCTTGCTCTCCATATTTGCTCATTCAATTAATCAAAACAAAACAAAACAAAAAGGCAAAAGAAAACTTTAACTAAAAAAATACTTTGCATTCCAATTTTAGAAATAAAAAAAATTTTTGAAAAATGTCCACTTCCCAAAATGTTAATTTACGTTTTAAAATATAAATGCTGAGAAAGCAAAAAATTGCCCTTAATTTATACAAATTATTTGTGTATGGAAATGGTGTAACAGATACATTTCCTTTTCTTATAGTTCGGCTTTGCAGTTGGACGATAAAAGAACACTTTCTTATGGTGGAGGAAGAGAATAAAAATATGCCATGAATAATATTAATATTTCCTGTTAGCCCTGATTTTATATGACTGGCTAAATACTATCTAGTTAATTGCCTCCTGATTTCCCAGGAATACATTTTATATTTTTTTATATACAAGAAGTGGACATTTCTCAAATATGTATATATTTGCTTTGCTGCATTGCTTTGCTGATTATTTCCTATCGCTAAAGTGATCAAGTAGTAAAATTCACACTTGACAATTTCTGGGACCCAATACTCATGGCTTTAACTTGTCTTAGAAGTGGTGAATTGCAATGCCTTCCAATGGGGGCTACTAGGGAGTCCTAAAGGGAGAGGCGCCTACTCAACAGCAACCAGGCGTTGGCATGCAGGAATGGGTGCCACGTCATCCAGAAAATTGATGTCTAAGTGAATCTCTCAACTTCACACGTGCGTGATATCCTCATGTGATCCAAATGGACCCATCTGAAATATTGAATCTGGGCAGTGGCCTTGCAGATTGCAACCCCTGCAAATAAGGCTGAAGTTTCAGAACCTCAGATCACTCCTTGTTCAAATTGTTCAAATTAAAACAGACTCAACGGGTTTATTGGGGAAGATCTCTACTTGCACCAATTCCACAGGAGAAAACGTACCTCTAGGGAGGATTTTAAGGCTGGAAACCCTCCTCTTCCATATTCATGCAGTGGCTGTAACACTGTGGATTCTCTCATAAAAAGGTGGAAACTCTTCTCCACCTGTTGCATCCAGGTTGGTGAAGTGAGTCACAGTAGCCAGACAAACATGACCTAGCGTGGTTTCAAAAGCACACTGGAGCCTTCCATCACTGTTCTTAGAACCCCACTACTGCCTTGGGAAGCGCCCTGGGCTAACCTGCTGGGTGATGATATACGTGTGGCCCTATCATCTCTTCACCCTAAAAGACAGCCTTCCAAACACCAGATATGCGAGTGCAGTCACCTAGATAATCCTGTTGCCAGGGGATGCTCCAGCTATCCACAGGTGCATGAGGGAGCCCAGATGTTTCCAGCCGAACTGGCCAAAACCCTGTGAACTTCCCGGCTGACAGACAAAATTTTGAGCTAAAGGAAAGGTTGCTGTCTTAAGCCACTGAGATATGGGAGTGTGGGGTATTTTAACGCAACAAAAGCTGCAGGTGCTTCAAAATCCTAATGTAAAGCCACATCCGGAGTGCAGAAGAAACAGGCACGAGGGGTAAAGGGTGGTTGCAGAAAATGCTTTTAGTAGGGTCCTTTCTCTCCATCACAGCATCCTCAGTTGGTTGTTGTCATGGGTTTCCACTTTGAGGCGAAAAAAAAAAAATCAAAATCGCCAAATCAAAATTTGTCAGCTCTGTTCTGGGATAGTCAAGTATAAACGGGACTCAAATCTGGCTGGCTGGGGCTTTGGTGGTGCTAGCTTTAGGTGAAACGTATAAACCATAGCTGAAAATGTAGCCCTCTCTCTGGGAATTAGTGTTACCGTCCTTGCTAGCTGACAACAATTGGAAATACGAGTCTACAGGGAAAAGCAATGAGGAAACCTATGTGTCTAAAATGTAAAAGATAAAATAAAATTGTACAACTTACCACAGAGAAAACAAAAAAACAGAAACAGATCAAGAAAATATAAGAAAGCTTTAAATATCCCAAAGTGATGAGATAAAATTGGTAACATGAAATTTTAAAAAATAATTATAAAGAAAAAAATCCCAATTATGGAAACTACTGGATAGCAAATGCCAAACAGTGGAGATAAGCATATCAGGGATAATTGTACTGAACAGCGCAATAGATGCAGATTCCAAATGGATTTTCGAGCCGGAAGCTCTGTGGGGCCCAGCTCTGCTCCTGGCTTCCGGCCCCTAAGCTCGTGAGCTCCATGGGAGCCTCACCTGCTCCTCCTTTGCTGAGGGTCTATTGACAGGTTCACCTTCTGGGCCTCCTGCCATGTCTTATGCTTCTGACACATTCTTTGAGATGCTAACATTATTGCATTTTGTCTGCAGTGTGTAGAGGGGAGGTCAGCATTAGCTGTGACTTCCCACACGATTCCCAGCTCCGTCTTCACCATATGTGCAGCCTGACCCTGAACCCTAGAAAACTGCGCTGGCATTTCCAACAAGCAGGCCACCTTCCAATTCTGTCTTGCTGCCAAATCAAACGTAAATATTACCAGGATAAATATATAACTAAATAATTTTTAAAAATAGGATTGGGGGCCACACGCAGTCGCTTACGCCTGTAATCCCAGCACTTTGGGAGGCTGAGGCGGGCTGATCATGAGGTCAAGAGATGGAGACCATCCTGGCCAACCTGGTGAAACCCCATATCTACTAAAAATAGAACAAAACATAGCCAGGCATGGCGGCATGTGCCTGCAGTCCCAGTTACCGAGGAGGCTGAGGCAGGAGAATCGCTTGAACTCGGGAGGCGGAGGCTGCAGTGAGCCAAGATCCTGCCACTGCACTCCAGCCTGGGTTTCACAGAAACTTGATACAGTCTTATAACAATTTAAAAGCAAGAAAGATTAGTTTATATTCCAATTAATCTTCCCCATTTCCACATCAATATAGCAATTACGTTATGAGTACATGTCAAGGGATTTCTAGTATCTCCAAGATGTACACAGTAAGAAATTAATCATGGAACACCACTTAGTATATGGGGTAATGTTTTTCACAAATAATAAAAGTCATTCCTTGTTTTCCAGTCGGTGTTTCAACATGATGTTAACTGCAGACTTTAATACACTTAGAGCTGAAAAGTGCTTCCTTGACCAAAGTGTGCTTAGCAAAATGTAATTAATAATAGTGCTCTGATTCTGGCTTTAAAAAAGTGTTTTAGAGCAGATGACATTGAAACAACAGAGCTGTTTAAAAGTCTAATTGATCTCTTAAATTGTTTAGAAAAACATATTCAAAGGAATAAAGTGTATTTCTGCTTAAAATAAATGGAAAAACTGAATCACAAGTGAACTGCACCAAAAACAATAGAAATCAAAGAAAATATGCAGGTTTTATAACTTTTTAAAAATGCCTTTAAGTCAGAAATCCTAAGTTATTGAAAATTTTACTGTGTCATTTATTTTCAAAATTTTGTTTTTTAATTGACAAATAATAATTGTTCATATTCATGGGGTACACAGTGACGTTTCCATACCTATAGTGATTAGACCAGAGTCATTAGCCCACCATCGTCTCAAAGTTGATCATGTCTTTGTATTGGGAACATTCAGTATTCTCCTTCTGGCTATCTGAAACCATATATTATTGTTAACTATAGTCATCCTACAGTGGTACGGAAACAAGAACTTCCTCCCGTCCAGCTGAAATTTGTATCATTTAACACATCTCTCCCTATCCCTCCACTTCCCCTCCCCTTCCCAGGCTCTGGCATCTTCTGTTCTATTTTTTTTTTTTTTTAGAGTGTCATGGAAACCTCAGCTATGGGGAGAATAGAGAGCTACCTGATGTGTATCTTCAGTGTTCCCAGAGTCCTTTACCCAGACTCTTCCCAGATCAGTGTGCATTTCTCTTGATGTTATTTATCAGTGTCTCCCAGGCCTGCTACTCCCCATGCCCAACCACACATCATGCAAACACTTTGAAGCCACAGTTTGGCTGAATATTGTTATGCTCAGAGTAGGAGAATTGTACCCGAATGTAAGCATTATTCTATAGGATGGGTTATCCTCTTCATACATTTTGAATATATTTTGGGTTTTATTGCTAAAGAACATGAAATCAGCTGATGGCCTCTGCTGAGTATGTCCTCCAAATTAATCCACTACATGTTCAAGACTGTCTCTTGATGCACATGGAAATCCAGGTATCATGCCTTTCCAAAGACATTTTCCTTCACTAGAATTGCTTTTAGTAATTTGTTAGTTATTTTTTACCCTTTTCTCTGAAAGCAGTTCATACAGTTTTTGAAGTATTCCTCAGTCAAAATGTGTAAATGCCTGTGAGCTGAAATAAGTTCTATAGAGAGATGTTACTGATTCTGCTAATAAACGAATTACTCAAGCACTTAACATTTAGAAGTGAGGTATATCTTCATGGCTTTCACGACATTAATTATTTCATATTCTTATTTTCAGTCCCAAGTAGGCCCTGTTATCTGAGTTTCTGTCTCTAAGTGCGCTGTTAAGGTTAAAAAAAATTGACAGTCCTGGTCATATCTTAAAACTCCTCTTCCATACACAAATATGGTGACTCAGATGTGAGACTTTAGAAACGAAATCCTGCCCCATCAGCTCTCTTCCTTGGGTTCTTCACCGAGAAATTTAAATTCTCATTTGTGAAATCCTGACCAGAAAGAATTTATGACAGTTCTAGCCTCTTTAACATATTGATCCAGCTTGTAGGTTCAGTTTATCTTTGAAAATGATCATTGACCAGACATTCTACACAGTGGTTCAAAATAACATGTAGAGAAAGGACTGTTATTATCTCATAAAGACATGCATTATTCAACCCAGTCCTTTTAAAATAGCTGCTTTAAGCTCACATTAATTGACATTCCAATAAGGCAAGGAACAAAGGTTGGATTCTTTGGGTTAAGATAGCACTGCCTTGTAATATAAAATATGCATATAAAAACACTTGGTCTGTGGAATATATTTCCTAATTTCATCCTAAAAAACACATTGATGACATTTTCAATGTAGGATTAATGATATTACAATGCTTATTATTGATTTGCATAATGAGTGATGCAATGAGCATTAATGATTTTTCCATTACATTCCAAATAAAAATGTTCCTCCAGTAATAGAAAGTCTCCTTGATGAATGAGTGACCTGCATTTCAGTGAGGACTGAAACTGAATCCTATACATTTTTACCTTCTTCTCCCATTAGGCTTCAGGATGAAGCAACCAAGCTTGACGACATCAAAGAAATGATTCTAAATCAAGCATGAAGAATTTGCCAAGGAGCGATTGCCTGTTGAGGGAGGTTTTGAAAGTTCTTTACTGGAAATATGAATAAATGAAGTTAATTTCAATGGCAAAAGATGGTTATTATAAAACTAATACGTGTTGTGTGTTGAGTAATAGCTCCCCAAGGATATGTCTATGTTCTCATACTCAGACCTTGTGAATGTGACCTTCTTTGGAAAAAGGGTTTTTGCAGATGCTCAGGACCTTGAGATGAGTAAGATCCTCCTGGATTACATGGGTGGACCCTAAATCCAGTGACAAGTACAAGTATCCTCATAAAAGTCAGAAGAGGAGAAGACATGAGCACACAAAGAGAGAAGGAAATATAACCATGGACGTGAAGATTGGAGTATGCTCCTAAATGGTCAGGAACCACGGGACTCACCAGAGGCTGGAAGAGGCAGGGAAGGATCCTTCCCTAAAGCCAGTGGAGAGAACGTAGGATTTCCACAAGATCTTCTGGGACGTGGTGCCCAGACCTTGGAGGAAAAGTACATGGAAACAAATAAAATAATTTGGTTGTGCCAGTGCATTTGGGAGATTTAATTCAGAAGATGCATTCACCAGACTGATCAGGAAAAGCAAAAGACCAGTATTTGCCTGGAAGCAAAAGTAATACTGTCACAAAGGCTGATATTCTTATCCTGCAAAGCCCACATATTCTCTTGTATGGGAATCCCTACAGGGGAAACCAGATGGAAATCAAACATTGTTTGTTGAGCATGAAATCAGAACTAAAGGGATTAGTTAGCCAATTTTATTATTTAATGGCACTGATATGGTTTGGCTGTGTCCCCACCCAAATCTCATCTTGAATTCCCACGTGTTTGGGGAAGGACCCGGTGGGAGGTAATTGAATCAAAGGGCAGGTCTTTCCCATGCTGTTCTCGTGATAGTGAATAAGTCTCATGAGATCTGGTGGTTTTATAAGTGGGAGTTTTCCTGTAAATGCTCTCTCTCTTTTCCTGCTGCCATCCATCTCCTTTTTGCCTTCTGCCATGATTGTGAGGCCTCCCCACCCACATGGAGCTGTAAGTCCCATAAACCTTTTTCTCTGTATAAATTAGCCAGTCTCGGGTATGTCTTTATTAGCAGCATGAAAACGGACTAATACAATCACTGAAGCTAAATAGCCTAAACATCTATTCCCTGATAGAGATTTTATTGTCAATAAGATAGAATATTAAAAATCTACTTTTTAAGCCTCCCTTTTTTGATGTCACTGGGAGTGTTTGTGCACATCTTTTCACTTGTTTTTCTCTTATTTGGAACCCTGATAAGTCTAGCTCGTCTAGCAGCCCACTCATAGTTTTTAAGTGACTATTTTTTTCTGCTCTAATCCATTAGAAGTTGTTTTGAGGTTAACTGTCAGAGGGCATTTTCCCCCAATTACCCACTTCTGCTGCTAGCTGCTCACTGCAAATCCTTGTTGGTTAGCAAGCTGCAATTCTGGCTGCCAAGGTGTGTACATGCCTATGACATTACGCTTATCTTTACCTATCTATAATCCAAATCCAGACTCTCAAAACTTTGTAGATAAAATTAAATTGGATGGCACAGGTAACTGACCTTTAGATAAAGCTATCTGAAAGAATTTCAGTTAGATGTGACAAAATAAGAACATAAAAATGTAAGGCTTCTCCAGAGAGAGACAGCTGATAAATGCTTAGAAAAGCAACTTCTTTTCTAAAATTATTCACTGTGTTATCAAAAGAAAAATTATCACATATTAAGCCAAATATGCTTTCTGAACATTTCCTACTTTGAAAGAAGAACTATATCTTACCAGAAAAAAAAAAAAACTGCAACTGGAACATAGTCTGTGCCATTCACTGGAGACATTTAAAACCTTATTCATAAAAGGCCAAATATTAACAACGTGATAAAAACTGAAAATTAAGTTTTTGTTTTCATAGAACATTGTTGGCTGCAGTATTTACTACATTGTGGCTCTGTAATTATTCCGAATTTACCATATAAAAGATTTTCATTTATAGCTTTAGGATGAAGTGACTACTTAGCATGCATACAAATGGAAAATTCCAGCTTCTGCTATTCTAATGCCTTTTACTGATGAAAATGTAATTCTTATTTTTAGATTTTAGAAGATGGAAACTGTAGTCAGAAAAAAATTGCTAGACTGCATTTGCTGTTCCACTTAAATTAAATGATATCGTATTTATTCCTCAGGTAAATTGGTTTTCACAAGTATATACCAGCATATCAGACACCAGACCCTATTTCCCCCCACATATAATCTATTTTTGGTGACATTTTCCATCAATGATTAGGCATAGGGCCACAGATCTGTTAAATTATTAAATCACAGTGTACTAATGCAGGATCTCCTTAAAAAATTGTCATAGAATTTTTCTTCCTCCAAAGTAGTAGATCAGACAAAATGAGCTGGATTTTCTGAAAATGCATTTAATTCTGAAGCCTGACTTACAGGCTAAGAAGTGCATATACTCAGGGCACACACTTCAGTCTAGACTTAGAATGTATTTTTCAGGGTTGCATTTCTTAAGGACTAGAATCTATTGAAGCCAACTCTGGCATGTTACTTTTTAAAAGAAGGCTGTCCTGGCTCAAATGTCTGCTGGTTGTCTCTGTCACACAGCATGCTTCATCCTCCTTAGGACCAAATGGGTAGCTCAAGTATGTCTTTCTCATAGTGATGAATGCTGTGAAGAGAAAAAGCAAATACAATTGCACAAACACTTTCCCAGCATCTTCTTGCATCATATTGGCCTGGCCAAAGTGAGTCTTGGAACTGAGGCCAGGCGGAAGGTGGAACATCACTGCAATGTTCTGGGGAAAAGGGCAAACATTCTTGGAAGGGGACCAGATTTTTTTCAATCTGTGATAGTCAATGTTCTACCCATAATTCTCACTGTCTTCCCACTTTAAAAAACATGCTTAAATCCATCACTAGGATCTTCTCACGTCGCCTCCCATGTTGAGTTTCGTTTTGTCCAGGGTCCTGTGACCTGTTTTACATTCATGTTTCTCTCTTCTTCATCTTGAGAACTGTGAACTAAAGAGACAATGATTTGCCTCTGAAACACAAAATGTACCTAGTGAGAGAGAGACAGATTCCCTGCAATGAACACTTTCACATGAAAAAGGAAAGCAATGATAAACAGCCGTTTCTGGTCCATAGTGATTCTGAAATCTGTTGAGTAAATGCTGCGAGTCCTCTTTCACCTGGGGGCAAGGATTGTTTCTGCCTTCTGATAGAGCTTCCTTCACTCTTCTGTAAATACACTGGAAAAAGCACCTTCTATACAGCTTTCTACCATGGAAAGTTTTGGGTCCAGAAACTGTCGTATATTTTAGTCATTTTAATCTGCTGTTTTCTATAGCTTTTGCAAGAGCAACCAATTTAAGAAATAAGCAGTCAAATGAACAAAAAACTAAAAAGCCATGTATAATTTTTGTTTCAGATTTTAGTTTCCTTCTTGCACCAAAAGCCTTCTGTGTGTGTGTATGTGTGTGTGCATGTGTGTATATGTGCGTGTGTGTTTGTGTGTGTGCATGTGTGTGTGTGCGTGTGCATCTGTGTCAATGCTTTACTTTCTAGACATGAATAAGACCTACCGTGGGTAGGTCAGGCTGCTATGGAACAATAAAATTAAATTTGTAGAACCTCTTTTTTCTTTTTTTTTAAGATTCAGCTAGGAATACCTTACTAGGCATCAGCTTGGTTTGTTTTTTTCTGATGACTTAACGATAAAGATCGTTGGTTTTATTTTTACCTTGAGGCCATTTTAATGTGACACAATTTTCTTTGCTAGAGAGGAAGAGAAAGAAAAACATATTTACTTTCTAACCCACGGAAATCCCAGAATTTCTGAAATTTATGTAATAGTTTATTTGAATTATGCCTCAAAATCGGCTATTTCATTATTTATTTCATGTCTCTCCCGATGTTCAGTCATATATGCAGCTACTAAGAGACAGGAGATACTTTCATCCATATACTTACAGGTTCTCCTCTACAAACCCAAAGAGCCAGGAGGTGTGTGTGTGTGTGTGTGTGTGTGTGTGTGTGTGTGTATTTTAAATATATATACTTAAATGTTCTAAGTGACTATATGTAATGTTTTGAGTTTGTTTTCTAAACCTTCTCAAGTATTTAACTAGGGTTATTATTTTCTAAGCTGTCTATAACATTTTCCTTGCCATTTTCCAACATTATATTAGGTTTTTTTTTTAATCACTTTTAACTTCCAACCACCACTTTGTCCCAAAACAAATGTCAAAATCTTAGATTTTCGTTAGGAAAGCACTGCGGTGTGATAGCATGATTGCTGATCTATTAATTGCCACAGTAGTACTGCATGAGAAACAACCATAAAACTTCTGACACAAGACACATAAATGTCTGCGGAGGTCACAAGCGTGCAAGCTGGCATTCTGGCTGTGGGCGGTGGGTGGCACGTTTGATTCCTGCAAGGCTTGCCCGTGCTCTCTGGAAGTTGACAGCTGAATGTCTGATGGGTCCATTGGATTGACATTGACAACTCAAATCCACTGTCTTCTCTCATCCTCTTCCTGGGATCTGTGGGCTAGTCTCAGGACGTCCTTCTTGTGGCAGTGACAGGGCAAGGCCAGCAAGGTCAGACATCATTACACTCACACTTCTCCAGCTCTAGCCTGCATCACTTTGCTAACATTCCCTTCGCCAAAATGAGTTAAGTGTCCAGCTTAAGATCAGATTAGGATACCTCTGAAAGCCTCATGAGAAAGAGTGATAATGCTGGAAAAGAGGAAAAATAAGGGCCAATTTGGGAATCTATTACATAGTGAATGTCAGCTTCCAGTTTCTAAGTAAAGGTAAATTTCAGAACATTATTATGGTCCAGAGAGATGGAGTACAACAGACTAATATATGATGAAAGTGAATACACACACTTCGGAATGCACAAATCAGTTTCAGAAATATGAGGCCTCCGCTATACAAGAATCGTGTACGAGTAAAACATTAAATCAAGGACTGAAGAGTATAATGGATCCTTAAAAAATAGTATATTTTTCCTTTCATTATAGAGGAAGAACATTCTATTCATTCTTCCCTACTGCCTCATTCACAAAAGAGGGAAAAGGCCATCACATGCACCAGAAGAAAACACTGCAACAGAAGTTTGAAAACAAACTCCAGAGGAACGGGAACAACTCTCATGTAGTTCATCTGGGGCCAAGTGTAGGGATTTGTGTCTAGTGAGAAGACTGAGCAACACTGTCTAGAAACATGGATTGCTTGATGGTGTTTCTTAAATTTCCAGATATTTTGACAATCTTTCACGAGTGGCACATCCACCGCAAGTGTATTATTCAAGCATATAGTCATACATGGACAAAGAATTTCTATTAATTAGGAATTACACTCATGTGCTCTGCTGATTAAGAGCAAGACCAGCACCTCTCCAAGTGTGTCTTCCAAGCGTCCCCCGAAGACAGAATAAAATTAAATTAAACAGAAGCACCTCAAGAAGCAAGATATAAAAACATGAGTTTGTGTTAAATCTCTTGTTTTATATCAATCAAGCATGAACACTTCTGCTCTACATACACTCAAGTGTACAAACACACCACATGCTTTCTTCCCACATCTACATAGAAGACTGATGACCAGTGACAAGCACTGCATTTAAATCTCTTGTTTTATATCAATCATGCATGAACACTCCTGCTCTACTTACACTCAAGTGTACAAAAACACCGCATGCTTTCTTCCAATGTCTACAAAGAAGACTGATGACCAGTGACAAACACTGCATTCATGCTTTGTGTTCCTCTATTTCTGGACACGAGGTAGCCGAGACAGGGATGTTTGAAGGCAAATATAGGAAAATACATAAATATATTTAAATTTATCAATCAGTAATTTTGCACACTTTATGGCTATAAATTGAAAAATAAAATTAAGAAAATTAAATGTATCTATAGTCCTAACACCAAAAATAGTCACTGTAGATATTTTATTGTGTATCATTTGAATATTATTTCTATGAATATATATATGCGCTTCCAAACAAGAGAAGTGATGGTATTTTCTATCTATAAAATCTTTCAAAACTATATTTTAACTGGGTGGTAAATAATATCATACTCATCTTACAACATTGAGGTCTTTCTTTTTAAACCTTTATATCTCTCTTTTTTTAAATAATATTGCTTAGTTATATTTTTAGGTAGAAAATCTATTAACATGTCACAATTTGCTACTTTTGTGAATAATTTATATCAGTTTAAAATAATTAATATTTGACTGATTTTTGCTTTTCACTGTTAGCCCTTCTCTTTATTTTTCAATAAAAGATCCTTTTTTTTTGGCTTAAAGATGGAGAAGAAAGTATCCAAGGCAAGTGTTTTGTGAAAAGTCAAGTGGGAAAAGCTAGCAAAAGATGGGCCAGGATCGTATAGCAGTTCTTACAAGGCACCGCCAAATGCCCTGCTCTCTGGAAGCCTATACTACCAATTTCAGCTCAAAAGTCTCATCTTGCTCTGATTTCTGGCACAGTTCATTTGCTGCGTCACTTCCTTGACACCTGAAGCAGGCCTGTGTCCGCTGTTGCTGCCGTCCCTCCCATAGGTCCTCCCTGGGACCAACTATGATTCCTGAGGAAAGCATGGGAACCCTTGAAGCCCAGTGATGGAGCTCAGACCCTGTAGCCCCACCGCCTGCACTATGATTCCTGAGGAAAGCATGGGGATCCTTGAAGCCCAGTGATGGAGCTCAGACCCTGTAGCCCCCACCACCTGCTCATGAACTCGGCCGCTACACTTGGACAGGAGCCCTGGGCATGCTACTCATCCTCTACATGGCTCATGGCCTGTCCCTGAAAAATGAGTGAATAACAAAACCTTCCTAACAGGGTTGCTTGGAGGTTTGCAGGAGGTGATACGTGTGAAGTGTTCAGTGCAGAGCCTGACACACGTCCAGTGTTGGACATGTTCTGCATTTTCATGATGAAAGAAGGTAGGATGTGCATGGCCTCATGCCTCTACTTTATCTGAGCGGATTAACTGGCTGTCCTCATCACTGGCTCCTGTGCTGGCTGCTAGATCTGCATGTGCTGCCCATCGTGGTTGTTTGCTCACTCTCAGGGCATGTGCAGATAGATGTGATAAGTCTTGAACCTTTATTCTTCCCATGAGGTTTTTAACTATCCCTGCATTCTCTTTCCTCCTATCTCTCCTTCCACGCTTCCCCATCCCTGTCCTCTTTCTGTTCTTTCCTTCTTTCATCTCCTTTCCTCCTTTCACTCACACATACACATCCATGATGAGCTCAGGCGAATTGGACTCTGCTTTGTCCCCACTCTGAGTTGTTGCTTATTGAGTCTCTCCTTCTGTGCTCAGCTAACATTAACAGCGCCTTTGTCAACCTCTCTTTTTAGAAATAACCTTGCCTCTTACCAAAAATCTGATGCAGAAGCCACAGCTAGAGGGGACAGACTGTGGCTCATTTTGGTTTGCTGCAATGTCTCAAAGGACATTGTTATCTACTCTAAGAGCTTCAGTTTTCATCTACTCCCTAAAAGTGCACTCGGTAATTGCACGCGAAGCATCTGACAAAATCAACTCATTGCAAAAATGCTTTGCAAACTAGATATACAAGAGAATCTCCTCAACCTGACATAGCCCATCTGTGAAAATCCCACAGCTAACATCATAACTGAGGGTAAAAGACTTGAATGCTTTCTGCCTAGGACTGGGGAAGAACACGAGAAGTCTGTTCTATTTCTATTTGAGATTGTACTGAAGGCTGTAGCTGACATAATGAAGCAAGATGATATATAAAAGGTATGAGTCAGAAGTGAAGAAGCAAAACTGTCTCTTATTAGAGATGATGTGGCTCTGTATGTAGAAATCTCAAGGTACTTAAAAAAGGTTATTAGAACTAATAAGTGAGCTTAGCAATGCCATGGAATACAAGGTCGATGTGCCAAAATTAATTGTGTATTTCTATACACAGCAAGAGCAATTGAAAACTGAAATGTTTCAAGAGTGCCATCTAAAATATCAGTTAAAACAGAAACAAGTGACACTTAGTACTAATTTAACAAAATATGGGCAAGATCAGAAAAGCACAAAACATCATTGAGGGAATTAAATACATATGTTTTCATGAACTAAATGACTCAGAATAGTTAAGAAGCCTATTCTGTTCAATTTAATCTAAAAATTCAATAAAATTTCAATAGAAGCTTCACTAGTTTTTGCTTGTATAAATTTACATAAATATTTAAAATGCAATTTTAATTTAATATAAATTAAATTTAAAAATACATTTTAAATATATGAGGACATTCAGAATGACCTAGAATATTCAAAATCATTTTTAATAGCACAGGTAGAATACTAATGTTATTTCATTCAAGACTGATAATAACCCTACAGTAATCAAGCTAATGTATTATTGGGAGGAAACAGGTATATAGATGAGAGATAGACTAATAAACATTGAAGAGAGAGGAAGGTCCAGAAATAGATCCACACTTCCATTATATACTGTTTTTTGACAAAGAGGCCAAGTTAATTCAATGGAAAAAGGATAATTGTTTAGCAACTGATATTAGAAACACATATTTGTATGAGGGAAAAATATTAGAAACACATATTTGTATGAGGGAGAAATAGCCTCTATCCTTATCTCATGTCATACAAGAAAACTAACTCAAAACTTAACAATCTCAGTATGAAAGTTGAAACTATGAAATGTATATGACTATATTGTTCATTATGGTGATTGCTAGCCACATGTAATTATTATACATTGAAAATACAGCTAAGTCCTACTTAAGATATACTAAAGGAGTAAAATGCACACCAGACATCAAAGGCTTAGTACTAAAAATGTTGAATAGCTTTTTAGTAAACTTTATATTGA
The DNA here is from genome assembly GCF_000001405.40 of Homo sapiens. NCBI lineage: Eukaryota > Metazoa > Chordata > Mammalia > Primates > Hominidae > Homo > Homo sapiens. Next base: position 2,428,731 of record NC_000010.11, read on the forward strand.
TTCTATGTTGGAATAATATTATTTTGGATGTGTTAGATTCAATAAAATACTTTATTGAAATGAATTTTCCTCTTTCTTTTTACTTATTTAATGTGGCTACTGAAAAATTTTAAATGGCATATATAGCTCACATTGTATTGTCATTGGACAACATTGAGCTAGAAGAAAACTTAGGAAAAAGTTTTACAGTCTTGGGTTAGGAAAAGATTTCTTGAATAAGGCATGAAATAAATTATAAGATGGCTTGATAAATGAGACTTCATCAAAATTTAAGTTTTCTAATCTTTAAAAGATATAGTTAAGAAAACAAGAAGGCAGTTAACAGACTAGAAAAAAATATGTGCAAGACACATATCAGAAAAAATAAACTTGTTTCTAGGAAATATAAGAAGTCATAACTCAAGAATAAGTAGATATCCAAAACTATTAACAATGAACAAACTGTGTGAACATACCCTTCAAATAAGAAGAGATATGAATGGCCCATAAGGCCTTGGAAGGCTCCTCAGCTCCATTAATTGTCAGGAATCTGTATTAAAATCATGGTGAGAAACCACTGCACACCCACTGAAATGGTGGACATGAAGAAGACTATCAATGTCCAGTGTTGGTGGGAGTATGGGGCAAGTGGAACTCTCCTGGGTTACTGATGGGATTACAAAATGATACAGCCACTTTAAAACTTTTTGACATTGTATTATGAAGTTAAACCTAAGCTTACATATAGTAAAACTCAGAAATCCCACCTCTATGTATCTGCCCCAAAGAAATGAAAACATAAGTTCACGCAAACACATATACTCGAGTGTTTATAGCATTTTTGTTCATAATAGCCAGCACCTGGGAACAGCAAATGCCCGTCAACACGGTCCTGGGTAAAAAAATTGTGTTGTTTTCCTACAATGGAAAAACGATCAATAATAAACAGGACTGAGGTATTGCAGCCTGCAGCAACATCGATGGATCACAAAAATATTTTTCTGAACGAGCAGACCCTGACACAAAAACAACCACACTAAATGGTACTGTGGGTGGGAAACTTTAGACAGGGCATGAAATCTATTCTGACAGCAAGTGTGGCAGTGTTTCCCTGGGCCCTGTGCTGGTGGTGGTTTGCAGGAAAAACACACAAGTGCTCTTTGTGGGCCAATGGAAACATCCTACCTCTTGAGTATGATGGTGGTCACACAAGGGCATCTATTTGTCAACACTCATCAAGGTGTACCCTTAAAGTGGCGCATGTCCTTGTATGCAGAACATACCTCAAAAAACCTAAAACAAATAACAGGGCATGGCAAAATCATTTCCTTTAAAAGAAAAAGGAACAATTTTATACATTGATGTAGACTTTTGATGTGCAAATTAAACTCATAAGGAATGTCCTTGGTACCTCCATTTTACTGATAGCCAACTGAGAGACATCAGGACGTGGCCAAAGACTAGAAATGTCAGAGTCAGGCTCGGCATCTGGTCTTGGAGAGCACATGTTCAATCCCAATCACACAGCCTCCCACAGTGACCTTGAGAGTCGGGCATAATGAGAGGCTGTGTAACTGCCAGTCTGTTTCCACATCAGGGTCTGGGGTAGCCATGGATGGTGATTAGAAAGGCCAGTGCACTGTGGCCTACTTCCAAAGAATTGTGCACACTGTTAAATTCAGTCATAGAAGATATGTTATTAAATTGTAAGTCAGAGATCTTTGTTTTCACAGATGTTTCTTACCACTGATTCATCAGGAAAAGACACTAAAAATATAAATAATACAGTTGCTTAAGTAGAGGAATACAGCCTCTGAGAGATGTGTAGGAGAAAGAAAGAGAGAAAGAAAAAGAAAGAAAGAGAGAGAGAGAAGAAAGAAAGAGAGAAAGAGAAAGAAAGAAAGAAGAAAGAAAGAAAGAAAGAAAGAAAGAGAAAGAAAAAAGAAAGAAAGAGAGAGAGAGAGAGAGACAGAGAGGGAGGGAGGGAGGGAGGAAGGAAGGAGAGAAGAAAGAAAGAAAGAAAGAAAAAGAAAGAAAGAGAGAGAAAGGGAAAGCAGGAGAGAGAGAAAGGGAGAAGGAGAGAGAGAAAGAAAAAGAAAAAAGAGGAAGAAAGAAAATAAGGAAGGAGGGAAAGAGGGAGGGAAGGAAAAACGGAGGGAAGGGAGGGAGGGAGGGAAGGAAAGATGGAGGGAAGGAAGGGAGGGAGAGAAAGAGGACTGACAAACCTTCACACCGTAATTTATGTAATTTCACACAGTAGCTTGAAAACACTGAGGGGATTATTTGTTACCTGGTGGTTTGGCTCCTACGAAACTCACTTCTACATATTTTTCTTCTTTACGAATACCATGGGGCCCCAAATCATGACCAAGAAAAACAAGAATCTGTCTCGCCTGAAGCCTACTGATGCAGATAAACATGAAGCCTTGTCTTGACATAGACTGACAGGTCTGTATGTGATGCAACCAGGAACCAGGACTCCATAGCAGCAAGATTTGACCCCATCTTACCCCATCACACTGGCCATGTGAGGCCACATCACACCCCAGCAGCCATCAGAACGACAGCGGCTCCCTAGCTGATGTGGAACAAGACAAACACACAGACACACAAATGTGTTGTCACGTTTGAGAAGGGCAAAATAAATAGTCTTTTGTTCTTTTATTAACATGGAAGTTAAAATGAAGATCCAAAGAGAATGTAAACCAATATATAGTTTCAAAATGCCACTCAACAGAAATATGTATCTTTGAAAAAAGTACTTTCTATAAAAGAGCAAAATCTTACAAATTGTATTCTAAATATAGACACTAGAAGTTGGCTTTTTAAAATGTACTGAAGATGGTATATGATGTTGCAATTTCTTCAGAAACAGAAAATTAAATATTGATGCCCAATCAATAGATAATGCACCTAAGGTGACAAGTTAAGTGATTTCAAATTGGACTTTAGACAATAATACAAAGTCCTCCTAAAGTCCTTGTTCAGTTGGCTCTAAGTACAGCATTTGTTAAAAATGGTTTTCATTTTGTAGTTTAGTGAAAAATCAAATATTTGATCCAGATCTTAGAATGCTTTTCTTGAAAGAGTTGAACTTTTTATCTTTAAAGATAAATCCATGCCCCTTTTCTTCCTTGAAGTATCAGTTTTGTGGGAGTGGTACCCAGTATGGACCATGCATACGCACGGTAGAGCACAGACACAGATCTACAAATGAGGTGTGCATCTGTGATTAACACCAGGTTCCATCTGGAAATGAATACAGCACATTAACAAATAAAATCATCATTTTATAAAAGGGCTCTGAAATAGAAAGTTCTTCATCATTTTATTTTTTTCAAACCTACAGGGATTCTGAAAATGATTCTTGCGTGCGTGTGTGTGTGTGTGTGTGTGTGTGTGTGTGCGTGTGTTGTTTTTATGAGCTGTGCCCCAGATCTGTATTTGCAACTGCCATTAAAATATTCAGTCATCTGTGTAAAAACAAAGAATCATGTGTTATATCCCAGAGGGAACCCCAACTTGTCACTGTCACATGAGTACAAACTGATGTTTGGCATCCACCGTATCCAAAAGGAGCAAAACTTACAACAGTAGCAGTGAAGATAATAAAACTGATTTGAGTTCAACAAACGGGACAAATTTTAGGTACTTATTGGTTGGGGAAGAGTCAACTTACAGCCCTCGTAACCAGACTTTAACACATGGGTAAATGTGTAGGTTAAGAAAGAAAAGGGGTTAATTTACAGCTTCATTCAGAGAAATGCAATTGTAGAAAAATTTTATAGATACATATCTATGGTTATGTATATGTGTGTGTACATGCATATATGTATACCTGTATATGTGTACGTGCAGTATGTATATGCGTGTATATATAGTGTATTTTTACATATATATTTTGTATATGAGCACATAACACATAGTAACAGAATAAAAGTTAGAAACGAATGCTGAGCCCATGGATAGCAGCAGACAGCTGTCCTGTGTGATTTGCCTTTGTAGAGAACATAGACCCTGAGTAATATGAGATACTGAGACAAAGAGGGGGCTGGGGAGAGAATGGTGACCAGCTATGCTGAGCAACCATCTGAAGAAGAAAATGGGTGCCATGAGAAAGAGTCATCTTAAATATTCTCCTTGTTTCCCAACACCTTCTTGTCAATATTTCTGTGTCTTGCTTGAGTGGTGTCCATCAACGGAAAGGCCCGCAGAGACCTGCTGAGCTGCCCTTTCAAGGAAAGCAACCAACTTGCTCATCATGGCTTCCCCTCCCCACTGGGTCTCCCTAGGGACTCAGGACTTGCTTGTTCACCCCCACAATCACATACGCCAATTTCTGGCAATAAATCTTTTTTTTTTTTTTTTTTTTTTTTGAGATGAAGTCTCACTCTGTCGCCCTGGCTGGAGAGCAGTGGTGCAATCTCGGCAATCTCGGCTCACTGCAACCTCCACCTCCCGGTTTCAAGCAATTCTCCTGCCTCAGCCTCCCAAGTAGCTGGAATTACAGGCACCTGCCACCAGCCTGGCTAATTTTTTTGTATTTTTAGTACAGACGGGGTTTCACCATGTAGGCCAGGGTGGTCTCGAACTCCTGACCTCAAGTGATCCACCCGCCTCAGCCTTCCAAAGTGCTGGGAATACAGGCATGAGTCACTGCACCCTGCCTGAACTTCTTAATATAGATCCCCTACTGGATCTGCTACCATGGTTGAATCCTGACTGATGCATGCCTCTTTAGGGAAGCGGTAAAGAATCATTGTTCTACCAAAGAACAGCTGCCTTCATCATTTATTGTACAAGGTGACTATGAAGTTAGATTCCTGTTAGGTTAAATTAAAAATCATTTTTTATAAAACTGCAATTAAGTCTAAATTTTAACCTTTTGAAGTTTTCGAAGGCTGAGTATGTGCAAAGATATTTAATATCATATTTATGGTATTTTATATCACATTATGTGGTGAAAAAAAACAACTGCCTTAATTAGGAGTTAGGAGTCCAAGATCACTTTACTTCTTAGTGGGATAACCGGGTAACAGCCACCTCCGTTACTTACATTAGGCTGCCTGATTGGGAAATATGATGCCTTGTGGCGCTGATTATACCATACAACGCATATGGGCATGTTTTATAAACAACAAACTCCTTGCTAACACGATGTGAACCAGGAGCTTGCCTGTAGGTTCCTGAGCCTAGAAGCTGTCCTGGAAATGTTCTTATTTTCAGCAGAGTGGGTTCCGCCTTGGGATGTCACTGCAGAAAGGAGACAGCCTCCTAGAGAAGCATGGAATGCAAGCTACTTTAGAAACCCATTAGAAGGCCGGACTCAATGGCTCATGCCTGTAATCCCAGCACTTTTGGAGGCTGAGGCAGGCGGGTCATGAGGTCAGGAGTTCGAGGCCAGCCTGACCAACATGGCAAAAACCCATCTCTACTAAAAATACAAAAATTAGCCGGGTGTGGTGCTGCGTGCCTGTAATCCCAGCTATTCAGGAGGCTGAGGCAGGTGAATTGCTTGAACCTGGGAGGAGAA